>NW_003571049.1:0-167313 GCF_000001405.40 Homo sapiens | reverse complement strand
TCTCAGCCTCCAACCTCAGCACATGTTCCAGGCCTGAGGTCTCCCTAAACAAACGAAGGTGCCCTGAGCCCCTCACTGTCCTTCCAAGACATGGCAGGCAGAGAGCATGGCTGGGGCCCACCTGCCTCTGGGGATCCCTCCAGGACCCTCACTCAGGCAGAAGCCGCTGGAGGGCACGGGCTCCTCTCCCCTCCTGCTTGTATTCTGAATTCCTCCCCAGGAGACACGGGGCCTGAGACAGCCAGGACGGGCTTGTGCTCATCTGCCTCCCTCCGCCTGGACTTCGCAGCGGCCTCTCCCCAGGCGAATGTCTGGCTGTCCCAGTCCAGACCCACTGAGCCGTCCTTCTTCTCCCTGAAGCTCCCCGTGCCGCGCCCCCTCTGGGCCACAGCCTGCGCCTCCCGTTTACCTCCCCTGCTCTGGTCCCCCCACTGCATCCCTGGCCCCACCGCAGTCTCTGGATCCTTCCTCTTTAGTGGTCAGTAAGTGAAAAGCAGGAAGTGACAGCAAAATGTCCTCTCATCTGACCCCCTTCTCACCTCCCTGCTCATGAAAGAAAGAATGAGGGGAGTGGGGAGACAGAGGATGGAACATGAGCAGCAGGTCAGAGAACAGCTCAGAGAAGATGGAGAAGCACCTGCCAGAGGGGCTTGGCCAGCAACGGCAGAGAGAGGGCAGAGGAGAGAGAGCCTGGGGTCCAGCTGAGGCCGTGGGAGGCGAGGCTGCCCTCTGCGTGGGAGAGCAGAGGCTGGCAGGGCCCTGAGCTAGCTGAGGGTGGCAGCCTTGCAGATAGCCATATGCTGTTAGGGCAGGAGGGAGGAGTGCGTGGGGTTGGTTGTCCTCCCTGGGTAGCTCAGGCTAGGGCAGGGCAGGGCAGGGCTGGCAGAACAGAACAGAGGGCTGGGCACGGGTGTGCTTATCTGCAAGGCTCAAGAATGGGCAGCTGTGGAGGATGGGGAGTGGAGGGGGGCGGGGAATAGAATACCCACCCTGGGGGCTTGTCAGCGGCTGGGGCAGGAAGCTCCTCCTTGTAAAGGTGCCTCCTCCAGACACGGGTGTGTGGGGGGTGGGGGGCCATGGGGGAGAGAGAAGACACTGAGCTCCCCCGGGGTATCCTGCTGCTTCCCAGGGCTTAGTCAGACTGATGGGTAGGGCAGCTTCCTAAGACACCTAATGGGGGCCCCTCCGGGTCGAGGTTAGGGTTGCGAAGGGAGGTGTCTGTATGAGCAGCCGGTGGCCCCGGGAGGCCGGGCAGAAAAGGAGTGGAGCTGGGACTCACTGGGGTGCAAGAGGACCCAGTGGGAGAGGGGTGGGGCTCACGAGGCTTGTAGGGGCACCTGCACACTCCTCCCATAGGTGGCACTGGGGGGGTTTGGCAGGGACCAGCTGCTGCTGGGTCTTCTGCAGTCCCTCACTGTATGGCATGGAGCCAAATGGGCAGCCTCCCCTCCACCACAGACAGTCTTCAGCTTATCACTTCCCCCAGGACAGCCCTCAGGACAGCCCCACCCTACTCTGTCTCATTTTCTTTTGCACACACATCCCTGCGCCATGGCCAGCTTTCCAGATGGACCAGTTGTTCCGGGGAGGAGTTCCCCCTCCCACCTGCCCCCAAGTCTCAATTCTCCAACCTAGCCCCAGGTGTCCAAGAGGGCAGGGTCTGCCCCAGAAGTGATCGTTTGGGGCCTAAGGGGTAATTCTCCGAGGGAGCCCAGGCTCCCCGCTATGGATGGTGGGAGGACTTGGGGAACGGGATGTGGGGTCTTCTGATACAGCAAGTACTGGGGGAGCAGTGAGCAGTGAGCATTTGCTGGGGAGGTGGATTTGGGGGCACACAGGAAGGATGGCCCTAGGGTGCCGTGAGCTCCGTCTCCACTGTGTTAGTCTGGGAGCTCGGCCTCGGAGGGCAGCAGGCTGGGGAAAGGGGAGAAAGAGCTCGTGGCTTAATTAGGCGCTGGAACAGTGGCATTACCCATGCTAGCAGTAACTTTTAATTGTATCTCTTGAAATTGGTAAAATGGTGAGTCGGGCTGGGGAGGCATTGATTAATACCTGAGAAGAGAAACAACAGAGACGGTGAGAAGAAGAACAAGGGGGCAGGGTAGTCACTCACCTGGGCAACCAGGGCTCCACTTACCTCCACCGTGCTCTCCGCCGGCCTCTCCCTGAGCGCGGCTTCCCTTTTGGCTTTGAATGCAAAGAGCACAGGGCTCATTCTCCACCGGCTGAGCCAAGCCCCTGCCCCTCCCCTGTGCCCCTCAAGCATCTCTGCAGCTAAGACTTGGGGTCACACTGCTCCTCACTGAGGCGGAGGTTGGGAGCCCCACTCTGCCACTTAGGAGCTATGTGACCTGGGCGAGATGCTACATCTCTCTGGGCTGCCGCAGACTAGAAGATCGCTGCCGCTCTTTCTGATGTTGGCATTGTGGAATCTGATTTACCCACAGTCAAAGCCTTCCCAGTACGAACTGTAAAAGGCTTGGAGGGGGCCTGGGTTGTGGGCGCCACGTTCATCAGCCTCCGTGGATCACAGGCTCCTTGAGCGTGGGCCACGCTTCTTTGCTCCAGCCCTGCAGACTGGCTGAGGGGGCAGGACTGAATGGGCTGAGGCCTGCACAGCACTCACCGCAGTGCCGGGCACGGTGAGAGCCGATAACTGCTCTGTAATTACTCTGAGGGCCTTCTGGCCGGCCTGGCACAGCAGCAGGGGCCCTGCGGACCCCCACGGACAGCTCATTGGCTCTTTGTGGCTGAGTCACTCCCAGCTTCCACCCCGACCCCCGCAGGAGCCCCTCTCATTTCCCAACCCCTGGGGGTGCCAGCTTCCCCCTGCTGTGCTCAGCCCTCTGCTTCCTGCAGCAGGAGAGGGAGCTGCACCATTGTTTGGGAATGAGAAAGACCCCGCTGTGGAGGGGACTAAGGGACACGTCCCTGGGGACAGGCATCTGGGCCTAACCAGGGCGGGCAGCTTCCAAAAGAGAGGCAGGAAGGAATGGCAGGGAATGACACACAGCTGAGGGCTGGCTCTGGGGTTCCACAGCTGAGAAAACAAAAGCAGCAACCCGTGCCCTATGACCTTATAGAAATGAAGAGGCCAGTGGAGATCAGGCAGCGTGGAGAATTACGGACGCACGATGGCAGGTCAAACCCATACAGGAAAGATTCCATCACAGAATCTCCACATAGCGAAAAGAGCCCCATGTCCTGCTTGGAAAGTGAATCTCATGTCCTCGCTGCCGTAACTAGTCCCCACGCTGCTGCCTGTTCCAAGTCAGGACTCAGGGCCGACTGTGGCGGGTCATGGACCACACGGGGCCCACTGGAGCTTCTCAGCTCAAGCTGGCGTCTCACTATGACCCTGGCTTTCCAGTGTTCTGCACAGGGCAGCAGCCATTCGAGAAGTGTTTGTTGAGTGTGAGAGTAAGTGACCGAGTTAACTAATGGGTGGACAGTTGTGAATGGCTTGCTGGGATTTCACTGGGATGAGACTGAATTCTCATGCATCTCCCCTCATGCTCTTTATTTGGGGCTGGTGGAGGGAGGTGGTGGAAACCTTTCCTGGCCCCCTGCAGGTGGGGTAAGGTTGGGGCAGGCCAAAGGAGGGGCCAGCTCTGGAGCCAGTGTGACTCGGCTGGAGTGAGCAATTCCACTGGAGAAACCACTAGAGAAGTGGAGTTTGAGGGTCTCTCTGGATTTGGGGTGGGCTGACCTGAGCCAGGGGTCAGGAAGTGCTTGTGGCTCATTAGAGAAGGGACTGTACAGAGAAGAGCAAGATCCAGATCCTTCTGGTCACCCTGCCCTCTTACACTGCCTGGTTGGAGAGTGTTCCTCGTGGGGCTTCTCTTGACCTCGCCTCGTCCAGACAGCCTGGCTGCAGGAGGGAAGGCCTCCCTGCAGGGGCCAGGATGCCAGGACTCTTGCCTGACTCCTCCAGGGCAGACAGTGACATCTCACACGGACTCCAGACCTCTGGTGCAGTTTGCAAAATGGACAGACACATTTCTCTCTCGCCTTCCTCCTCACTCCCACCACTAAAGCTCATGAGATTAAAGAAGGCAAGCCTGGCGCTCCTCAGCAGGAAGAAACACGCCACGGGAATGGGCACCTCTCCCTGCAGATTGCCCAGGACCCACACCCAGGGTCCCCGAGTGGCCTCCATGGGGACTGGTGCCCTGAGCGGAGCCGAGGCTCACCTGTCGGCGATCCTTGCTTTGACTGTGGGTCCCCCTGGGCTCCGCAGGGCTTGAAGGAGAGTGTCTTTGTTCCCTGCTGCTTCTCCAGCTCCCCTAAGGAATGCAGAGGCCCGTGAGCAAGAGAAACCTTAACCTCAACCACACAGAGGCGAGGCAGGAAATGAGGGGCCAGCAGAAAGGGGAGGAAGAGGAGGAGAGGTCCCAGTACATGCTGTGAAACACGGACCTCGGGTCTGGCCCCACCACTGAATAGCAAGTTAAATACCCCCTCGGAGCCGCAGTTTCGTCATCTGTACATGGGGATGATCCTATCTGCTTGAACGTCAGAGAGGCACAGAAGAGGCCGATGTGAGGGAGGTGAACTGCCTGGGTTTGGGTCCTGGTCCTGACACTCCCTGGCTGTGTGGTTTTAGGCAAGTTACCCAACCTCTCCATGCCTCACTCGAGAGGACAGCCAGGCCCACTTCACGGTGTCATTAAGAGGACTGCGTGGGAGATACACATAAAGCACAAGGCCTGGCTAGTGACCTGTACTCCTTAAGTATTAAGGTTTGTGCGAAAGTAATGGCAAAAACCGCAATTACTTTAGCACCAACCTGTATCAGTTTTGTTACATTGTGTGAAACGCACTTGGCACAGCAGAGCCTGCTGACAGGGGTGACACCCACCTCTCCACCCGGCGCCTGGGAGGACGGAGCCTGCCTGGGAGGACAGAGCCTGCCTGGCCAGCTGAGCCTCCGCAAGGTGTTCAAATCTCTCCCAAGGAGGAAAGTCCACACCGAGGGTGTGGAAGCTACAAGCCTGCAGTGCTAGGACATCTGTCTAGGTACTCAACTTTAATTCCTCTCACTGGATTGGAAACCTGTTCCTTCTTGTTCTTCTCTCAGTGGAGCTACAGAACTGCCGGCTGCCATCCTTGGAGATTTGACATGATTATTAAATCACTCCTCCCGCTTCTCTTTTCCAGGAGACATAACTCAAGTTCCTTTTATTAAAGCTACTCTCCTGGGCTCCATTTTCAGTCTCTCTGGTTGTCTAGAAACCAGGGACACTGAACCGTAGGCCCCCAAACCAGAACAATTTGTCCTGGTTGCCTAAATCACACCATCCCATCGATCAATGCTAAATATTTCTACTCAACTGAGAGTTGTTTCTCTCCCCACAGAGGGGCTCTCTTGGCTTTGGAGAAATTAGCCTGATAATTACAAGTGAGGAGTCCTGGGCCATTGGATGCAAACCTTGTTTTGTCACTGACTGTGAACTTGGACAACTTCCCTAAGTGCTTTTAGCCTGTTTCCTTACTTGTAAAATGATGCCCACTGTGGAAAGCTGTTGTGAGGATTAGTCCTCAATAAATGGTAGCTGATACTGTTTTCCATTTTCTTTTCTTTTTTGTAGAGACGAGGACTCGCTGTGTTGGCTGTTCTTGAGCTTCTGGGCTCAAGCAATCCTCCCTCCTGAGCTTCCCAGAGTGCTAGGATTACAGGTGTGAGCCACTGAGCCCAGCCCATTTTCTTTTTTTTTTTTTTCCTGGCTTCCTTTCCTCCCTGTCTCCCTGGCCTACCCTTCCTCTTCCCTCAGCTGTTCCTTCCCTTTCTCTCCAGTGAAGACTAAGGGCCAAGCATGAGCCTTTCTTCCTGCTCTTTTACCCTTGAGGCAGCAGGAGAGGATATTCACCTCCTGACATGACAGATTCTGACGCTATCTGCTCCTCTGTGACTTTGGGAAGCGGGGTATGTGCTGCTCCTGGGCTGATGGGGGAAAGTGCCTCTCCCAGCAATGCTGGTGCCACTTGGTGTGCTACGGCCCCCCAGGGCAGTGCGGAGCCATCTGGGACAGTTAGACAATGAGAGACGTGAAGCCATTTCAAGGTGCTTCCTTGAAAATGCTCCAGAAAAACAGCAGAGGCGGCCTCTCTGGGGATCCGGTCCAGCCCTTGAAAAGAATCTGTTTGTTTCACCACTGAACTCAAATAAGCCAACAGATTGAAGGAAGGGAGTTTCCACGCGCCCCTCCCCACCAAGCAGTTACCTGAGTTCCAGAGTCCAGTCCGATGGATCCCATTTTACCCTGGTTTAAATTGTTTCCTTAGAAAAAAATAAACAGAACCTCTTCTCTCACTCTCCAGTGGAAAGTATAGAATCAAACGTAAATGAAAATGACAGTTTCTAACATGCGCGACCTGGACACGCGGCTGAACTCCGAGCCTCAGCTGCAGAGTGGGGTCAATGCACCTACCTTGCAGCGTCACTGTGAGGATCCACACAACAGAAATAAACTGCTTAGTGTGTAGTAGGAGCCTCAAAAATGATGATTCAAAAGCACCAGCCTGTCACATTCATCCCCTGCTCAAAAACTCTCCCTGCCTTTCCTAGCGCCTAATGGACAGATATTAGTTCAGAAACACTTTATAACTAAGTGGCCATAGAGGCAGGCCTGAAGCCTATTTTCATTTTCTGTTTCAGTTTCTGAATCTGTTCTTATTTAGTCTTCCCTTAAAGGCTATCTGGCGCCTCCGTGATGCTTAATCAGGACAAGCTTGCAGATGGGTACAGGTTGCAGGCCCTTGCCTCTCTTCCCTTAACCCCACAGCAGCCAGTAAACCACCTGGACACAGAAAGAGACCCACATATTCTCTAAAATGCCTGAATGGAACAATCTAGAATCTAAGCATTCCTTATAGGAACAGAGACTACTGTAAGATGCGGGATAGTAAGAAGGCAGCCTAGACTCTTCAAAAGGACAATGTTTTAAAAAAAATGAAGTGGAGGGATGATTCAAGATTAAAAGAGAGTGAAGAAATGAGGCCAACCAGATGCAGTGTACAGACTTGGGCCACAGTGGGGGAGGTGACAGCAGACGGTTTGGTGGGAAGGAACGCACCAGAGCCCCATGGGCCTGCCTGGCCAGCTCGCTTGGTCATCCTGGTAAAACAGCAGAGCTCTCTGTTCCAAGAGGCCCACGCGCAGCCCCACATGCCTGCTGATCTGTGTACACACGTGTGTGCACTCTAGCAAGCCTCACTTTAATTGTGAAGAAACATGGGAACCGGTGCTCCCACCCGGGCTGTGGGAGTGTGGTGCGGTGGGGCCTGGACACGGGGAGGGTCCGAAGTGGGGCCAGCTCCCTGGAGTCAGGCATGTCTGTCTCAAGCTGCCCCTGTCCCTTGCTGAATGGGAACCCCCACCAGCTGCCTCGGGAGCCCGTGTCCTTACACTCTATTCGGATCTGCTCCAGCTCCGTCACCTCAGCAATGGACTCCTTCAGGTCCTCCACGAACTTCTGCATCTCGTCCGAGCCCAGGGCACAGAAATGCAGCACCTGCTTCTTCTCGGAGCCCGAGAGCGGGGTCACCAGTGTGATGCCATGAGAGTAATCTGGAAAGCAGACCCCAGGCCCCCAGTGGGCTGTGAGCAGCAGCAGCCGAGGGCCAGAGCCAGCCAGACATGAGGAGGGCACGGGGTCTCATGCCTCCACCCACTCTGCTGTCCAGCCCTTCTCCCTCAACTCGCCCCAGCCATTTCATCCATTCATTCCTTCTCAAAGACTTACACTGGCTGTCAAAGACTTACACTCGTTCTCAAAGAGCTGGAACTGCATGCCCAGCAGGCCAACTGACTTGCAAAAGGTGTACGTGGAGGAGCTCTTCTTCTTCGGGCAAAGTTTGAGAATCTGTTCAGGAGAGGGAAACAGGCATGCCCTGATGAACAGACACTCACGGACACATGGATGCACAAACACCCGGGGGATGCACGATCACACAAACCCACGCAGTGATGAATGTGCACATACAGGTACAGATATACATATATGTGCACACACTATCCCAAAATGTGCTTCTTCACTGCACAAAACCCTACAGTGGTTATTCCCTCTGTACTTAGAAGCCAAGCCACGGCGCCTGAGCTGGCCTGTAAAACCCACCTGATGTGGTCCTTGCCTTACTCTGGCCTTCTGCCCAAGTGTCCTCCCTGCTGTAGCTTGAGAAGGGCAAGCTCAGTTCCACTGTGGGCCCCTCGCATACACTGTTCCCACTCCACAGCTCTCCCGGCAGCTTTTTGCACGGCTGCATTACTCTCATTACTTAAGTCTCAAATGCTACCTCCTTAGAGATGCCTTCCTGGATCACCTCCTCTAAAAAACAAACCAAAGCAAGCCCAAACCTGGCCCTTAACTCCAGTCACTCTCTGTACTATCACCTGGTTTGTGGCCTTCATAGTGCCTTCCCCCAATCTGATATTATCTTGTTTGTCTGTTTCTTAATTATTTTCTATCTCCCTCCCCTACTAAAATGAAAGCTCGTTTTAGTAAAGTCATCTGGTTGCTTAATAAACAAATTTCTATTCAGCAGCTTCTGTGAGCTGAGCCCTGGAGATACAGGAGAACTCAGGACAGAGCCCCTGCCCTTAAGGTGCTTATGGAATGTGGAGTGTCACAGTGTCCATCAGGTGATCAAACAATAAAGCATAACAGCAAAAAAACAAAACCAAAGTGCTACGTGTTTTGAAGAAAATGAAACAGGGTAAGGAATCAAAAGTGATTTGAGACTTGAATGAAAAGGAGGAGGCCAGGAAGGCAAGAGGAGAGTGCAAGGTCTGGAGGAGCTTTGCAAGAAGGAGCAGCAAGTACAAAGGCCTGGCCCACAGGAGGGAGGCGCCTCCCAGGGCTGAGGAGAGGGCGGGGAGGCAGGTTAGGGAAAGGGGACACGTGGCCTGATGTGCACTCCAGAGAGATCACGCTGCTGCTCTCAGGGGGGTGGGGAGAGCCGTGTGGAGGCTGATGTGGTTCACTGAATGTACCAGGCGTGCACTAAGACTGTAGTAGTGGAGGTGGTGAGAGGTGGTTCAGGCTTGTGATCACTTTGGAGGCAGTGCCAACGTGGCTCATGGATAGAGAGGGCCGGTGCGAGGGAGACACAAGCCCTGCTCCAGTCCTGCTCACCAGTTTTCCAGACCTACAATGATGCCTGGCACATGGTCAACGCTGATCAAATATTTGTTGAATGGATACTTCTTTTCAAAGAGCAAAAAAAGTATCTGTGGGTACAGATGTGTGTATGTGTGTGCACGCACACACACACACCAGCCTCGCCTAGGCCCAGGGACAGAGCATGCTCCGCCTAGGCCCTGCTCCTCCCAGGCCCTGGGGTCTGAGGCACAGCCCTGTGCACTCCCTGTCCTGGGCTTCCTGTAACGTGGAGAGGCCAGTGGTCTGGGAACTAGTTCGTTAACAGTTTGTGCAACCACGAGCAGATCATCTGACGTCTCGGTGTCATGACTTATGAGGTAGGAATTAGCATGTCTGCCTGAGCCCCCTCACGCCCACGGTGTGAAAGCACCATGAAGGCAGATCCGTCCCACGGAACAGGCATTCTGTCTGAAAGCTCTGGGCGTCCTTTCCTGCCCACTTCAGGGACCCTGCCCAGGCTGACCAGGGCGGCAGAGGCAGCCCCAGCCCAGCCCAGTCCCGGAGCGGAGGCCACTCACCACCAGCAGGTCATTGAAGAGGAACACCTCCCTCTGATGCGCTGCCTGCTTCTGCAGCTTGTTCACATCCGTCACCTCGAAGAGCCGGCTGCAGCACACCAGGCGGCGGTGGGGCACGGACAGCACCTGCACGCGGGCAGGGCGCTCAGCGGGAGAGACCAGAGGCCTGGAGGCCTCCCCACCCACGCGCCCATTTTCCAGAAGAGGAGACAGCCCGGGAGAGGGGAGGGGCCCGGTTCTGTGGAGGGAGGAGAGGGGAGGGGTCCGGTTCTGTGGAGGGAGGAGAGGGGAGGGGTCCGGTTCTGTGGAGGGAGGGGAGGGGAGGGGTCCGGTTCTGTGGAGGGAGGGGAGGGGAGGGGTCCGGTTCTGTGGAGGGAGGGGAGGGGAGGGGTCCGGTTCTGTGGAGGGGGAGGGGAGGGCTCCGGTTCTGTGGAGGGAGGAGAGGGGAGGGGTTCGGTTTTGTGGAGAGGGAGGGGAGGGGCTCCGGTTCTGTCCTGGGGCCTGGACTTGACTCTCATCCTTCTCTCTCCTCGTCTGAGGCTCTTTCCCTCGCACGTTCACCCCCTGTCCCAGGGCTCATCCCTGTCATGCTTCTTGGGGAGCACGGCCAGAGAAGGGGCCCACTGAGCCACAGTAAATGAGGGGATAGAGGGACAGGAATAGGAAATTGAGAAGAGCTTGCAGGCTGTTCCAGTCCAGCCACTGTCAACCTGCTTCCCTCCGTAACCTTGAGGGCATCCCCTGCCCCAGGCTGCGGCCTGCAGATATGACACCTCCACCCTTTCTATACTGCAGAGATGCAGGTGTGCGAGAGCGAAGGGATCACAGAGACACCTGGCATCTACTCCAGCGTGTAAGACAAACCAGTCGCTTGCAACCCGACAGATGCTGAGACCTCAGCAATAAAGGCTCTCAAAGCAGAAAAGCCTGTCCCTGCACAGACTGGGAGGAGGGAGCCCAGTGCAGGGCCTCAGAAGAGATCTCCAAACTCTCCCACACCGTCCCCTGAGGCAAGAATATGAGGAGGAGGAACTGGAACCCCCATGACATCCTTTATAGTATAAAGTGTAGTAGCCTACAGAGAAGTCCCACTTTAAAAATCATGGCAGGCTTGGAACATGCTGCCTGGGACACAGGTCACTACCAATAGGACAAATCTATGGTGATGCCACAGCCTGGAGCCTATTGAGCCCATTTCCTGCCTTCCACTCATCAGGACCATCCAGGAATGCCTGGTAGTCATGCTGTCCTAGGAAAGGGATACTAAATCTCATCTGGCCACCCAGATGCTTCCACCCTAGACCACTGGGCAGTCCTTCCTGACATCTCATCTCCGTCTCTCCTGCTGCAGTATCGGGTGGCAAGAGGCAATGAGGAAATCAGGCAAGAAAAAAAAAAAGAGATGCAGTGTCTGGCACACAGTAGGTACTTCATAACTATCATGTGAATGAATATGAAAAAAGAGTTTTGGAAAGGTAAGAAGGAGAATGGGAAGAGATGCCAGGAAGAAAGAAAGGAAAGGAGACGGGAGATAGGTAGCTTGTGGACACTCACTGTCTTCATGCCCACAATGGACTTCTCCACCTTGGTGACGTACGTGACGTGGTCCTCATTGGACTTGAGCTCCTTCTGCTGTATCCTCTCATAGATGCCTACCACCAGCTCCCTGGGGATGTCAGCGCCATCGTCCACACCTAACAACGTGGAGTGGGCAGGGGTGGTGGTGGGGTTGGGAGGGAGGGTGTCAGAGCCCTGGAGCCAGACAGAAGAGACCCCCATCCAGCCTGGAGCTCCCGGGGGGTGGCCTTGGTTCTTGCCATGCCTTCAATGGCTGGTGCCTCATACCCATTCAATTAAGAACAAGTTCCTTAGCCAGGCACCAAAACTAATGATATGGCCCCAACACACATCTCCTGCCTCACCTCCTGATGTTCCCCAACCAGAGTCTTCACGCCCACCTCCCAGGCCTCTTTCCTGATGGCAGATACAGCCTCCATGTTCCTGCTAACCCTGTGCGCCTCTGCAGTTCTGTCGTCTTCCTTGTGTTCGTCTCACCCCCCAGCTCCACCCCACCACTCCAGCATCATAAGGAGCTTCTGTTTCGTTCTCTTTTGGATCTTCCTCCTGCTGGGCTCTCCTCTCCCCTCCAGTAGGGAGCATGGCATTGAGGGCTTAGTCTTTGAAGAGATTCCTCCCTCACTGGGAGCAGTGGGGGAGCAGGCAGACCCCTGGCAATGCAGGCGAGGACACCCCTGTCCCACCTCCTGCTTCATAGTAATGATAAAACTCGGGCAACAAAAAAACACTGGCAGGAAATATGCCAACAAGAAAACACGTTTCTTTTGGAGAAACAGGCGATTAAAATATCTTCTTTCTACTATTTCCAAATCTTTCTTTAATGACTATACGCTTCTTTTATAAGAGGGAAAAATTAAAAATAAAACAACTTTGGCAAGCATCTCTCAAAGGAGTGTTCCCAGCTACTGAAAGGACACCCCGCCTTCCACACGCAGCTCCCGGCCTGCTCTGGTCTCTTCCACGTCTGATCTTGGTTCTCGAAGTCAGGCAAATGAGCCATGCAGCAGCCAAGGAGGCTGAAAGAAATCAGGCGGCGGGTGAGAAAAACCAAGGAGAAAGGCTGAGTGTATGGATGCCCCCAGTTCAAGGTGGCAGGCTGCATGCCTCTGCTGCTTCTGAATACTCGGGAGAAAGGAATCTTTTAGAAAAGCATACACCCACAAAGACAGAGAACAGGGGCACAGGCACCCCAGGACCTGGCAAGTGGATAAATAAGTGGATGGATTTAGCAAACCTGAGAAAGCTGAACCCAGACCAGCAGAGAGGTTAGAAGCCACTCAAACACCACACAGCCACCAAAGGGCTTAGAGCTGGTGGTAACAGCAGCCCCTAAAAGCGAAGGTGAAGGTGGGCTGGGAATTGGAAAACAGGTTGAAAACGGGTTAGAAAGCTGCTGGGCTTCCCTATCCCCTCCTCACTCCAGCAGAAGACTGGGGGTCCATTCTCTGGAACTCTGAGATGAGGGACCCCACACCCAGCCAAGCCGGGACTCTGCTGAATACTGGGGGATGAAGTTGATAACCTATATATTAACCCTCAACTCCACTTCCCACTTAAAGATCTCAGAACTCTGGCAGCCAGAATCATACATTCTGGGCAACAGATTGAACATTTATCTTCTGGGTATCAGGCAGAACAAGAAAAAAATATCTCCAGATACTGCAGTAGGGTCTCCCGGTGAAATGCCTTAAGTAAATCACCCTACAAGAAAGCTCACCAGCCAGCAGCCTCCACCTGTGTTCACAGAGTCATTCATCCGCTTTCTGGTGGCTCACTCTTAAATATGAATGAACAACCAGATTTCATCAACTGCATTTGGAAAGTCTATACCAGGAAAGAGAAAGAAATATGGGGGAAAAAAAAAACAGAAAAAAGGACTCCAGAAGAAATAGAGGCAAACAGAGAGAAAAACAAACAAACAAACCAATATTAACATCTTCACCGAGATGGGAGAAGATATTGCATCTACAAAGCAAGAATAAAATGCTATAAAAGAGGAACATTGAGAGGACAAAAGAGAGCTATTGAGAATGAAAAATATGACAGCAGGAATGAAAAACTTGGTAGGAGACACAAAAGACGGCACTGAGGGACACTTTCCAGAAAGTCAAGGAAGTAAACAAAGATGGCAGGTAGAAAACTATAAAAGTTACGAGGATCAGACTAGGAGATCCACCAACAGAATAGCAGGAGTTCAAGAAAGAGAGTCCAGAGAAATTGGAGGGCAGAAATGATCAAATACAACATTTAAGAAAACTTCCCATGACCGGAGGACATGAGTTTCTAGATGGAAAGGACCAGTCCAGCCCTGGGCATGATGGATGGAAGAAGAACTGTAGCAAGATGCATCATCGTGAACATCCAGAACACGAAGGCAGACAGAAGACCCTGCAAGCTTTCAGAGAGAGAGAAAGAGTAACAGACAAAAGGCCAGCAGCTGGGATGGCAGAGCAGCACTGGCAGCTAAAGGACAATGCAGCAGCAATGCCTTTGAAATCCTGATTGGCGTGTTTTGAGGCTGGAATTCTATCCCCAGCCAAACTCCCAACCAAGGGCAAAGACAGAAAAAGATACATTCAGAAATGCAAGTTCTCAAAAATGGCCTTTTCTCTGAAAGTAAACTAAAAATGAGGAAGCTCTGACATGCAGGAACCAGGAATCTGTCATGAGAGCAAGGGAAGGAGGGCCCAGGATGCAGGCTGTGCCCTGGCCCAGCCACTGTCCAGACTGGAGCAGGACCAGAGGCTCCCGGAAGATGACTCTCCCGCACCACCTCCCAGGTCTGGACATATGGAGAGGAGCTTGATACGTAGGGTGGGAAGTGGGGGCTGAATCAGGGGAGGTCCTCAGAGAGTTAAGCAAATGGAAAGAGAAGCATTAACTCCAAGGAAAGTATAGATGAAGGGAGTTGCAATCATTCTGCACTTGCAGACTCAGCTTTGGAGTGTGTGTGCAGAGCCCTAATAACATGAGCACTGACGTGAGTGGGATGGGTCAGGGAAGGTGGATGAAAGAGGGCTAAATCCTTACATTCTATAATGGGGAATTAATAGATCATGCTTAAAATAAAAATAATTAACAAGGGCCAGGCGTGGTGGCTCATGCCTGTAATCCCAGCACTTTGGGAGGCTGAGGCAGGCGGATCACCTGAGGTTGGGAGTTCAAAACCAGTCTGTTCAACATGGTGAAACCTCATCTGTTCTAAAAATATAAAAATTAGCTGGGTGTGGTGGTGCACACCTGTAATCCCGGCTACTTGGGAGGCTGAGCCATAAGAATTACTTGAACCTGGGAGGTGGAGGTTGCAGTGAGCTGAGACTGCACCACTGCACTCCAGCCTGGGCAACAGAAATAATAATTAACAAGGAGCAGTGTATAAAAGAGACCAGATACCAAAGTATAAATACTGTATAGCTCTATTTAGATGAAGTTCAAGGACTGGCAGGACTCGTCAAATGGTGATAAAAGGCAGAATAGTTGTTACTCTTGGGCGAAGGCATTGACTGGGACGGGACAGGAGAGAACATTCTGGGCAGGTGAAAATGATCCAGATCAGGATCCAGGTGTGATGACACAGTGCACGTGACCGTACACATTCATCAAACTTCAGGCTTACACACTCACAGTCTGGACTTTATGCCAGTTAAAAAAAGAGATAGAAAAAAGCGAAGCAGAAGCCTGCGGTTTATCGATACAGAAGAAACGCAAATAGCTAAAAAAGTCAAAAGTGGTTGCCTCTGGAGAAGGTGAGTGGTGAGAGGGGCAGCGACTAATTTTTTTCTATGATAAGCCTTGTAGGATTATTTGACTTTATTAAATTATGTGGATGTATAACTTTGATTCTTTTAACGGGTAAAAAAAAAAAAACAATTGCGCACACATCACACTCTGCCAGTCCTGGTTTGCTCCCTGCCAGGCAGTGCGCTGCATCGATGAGAGAAGGACTTGCCAGCTGGTGCCATACAGTTATCTGCAAGGCTGACTTAAATGGACCCAGGGCCCTGCTCCTGGCTCCTTCCTTGTAAGTTGTGGAGGGGAAGGGCTGGCACCACTTGAGCCGCCAGCTCTGGTGTCAGGGGCCTAGAGGCCAACCATGTTCCACGGAGGGCAAGAGGCACTGCCCAAGGGCGCTTGCTGTTTGGTAGAGCGGTGGCGGTGGCAGGCTGCATGCCGGAAACTCCCCAGCCGCCTGGCTCACAAGGAATGTTCCCAGCTTGCTATGGGTGACCAGGCCCAGACAGCAGGTGACCATCTGTGATAGGGGCTCAGACTCACAGAATGCACGGTGCACAGAATGGGGCCTGAGCCGTGGCCTTGCCCCTCCTGCCCCAGTGCCCACCTCCTCACCTCGAAGGTTTCGGATGAAGTCCTCCAGCATCATCTTCCGGTCAGGCTTGATGTTGGGGCTGTACATGTCGGTGTTGAGGAGGATGATGGCGAAGGCGAGGATGAAGATGGTGTCGGGGTTGTGGAACTGCTGAACCACTTCGGGGTTGCACATGCAGTAGCGCTGGCTGTGGGGGGGTCAGATGCAGAGCGGACGCTGAGCCCCCGCCCACCCTCCCCCGGGCCCAACAAAGGAAGGGGGTGTCCAGGGGGTATCCCAGCTCTCCGAAGGCTTTAGGTCCAGGGAGACCAGTGTCTGTCCCATACTCTGGTCTTTTTCCCCACACCCCCAAATGCCCCACATTTCCAGCCTGGGGAGCTCGAGGGGTCGGTCCCTTTTCTTCCCTTCCCTTGTTTCTCCCCAGCCATCCTCCTGCCCACACCAGAAGGGGTGTTTCTGGCCCAATGTCCAACCCTCCTGATAGCATCTCCTGTCTCCCAGGCTCACAGCGGCCCGGCTTCCCCACGCTGGGGTCTGTTGGGGAGTGGAGCTGGGAAGCGGCCTTACCTGAAGGCCTCAATGAGCCGCTCCACCTTCTGAGCCTCCCCCTGCACACGGATGTGTGCCTGGAACTTGCGCAGGGCCTCGTCCAGCTCCATGCTGGAGAAGTCCATCTCGTCCACCACGCAGCTGAGGGCAGGCAGGGAGGGTGTGAGGTCAGGTGGCACCCTAAGCACCCTCCAACACCCATTCTCGCTGGCCTCTGTTCCCAGCCAGGACAGGTGCAGGGCCCCTCAGGCTACTCACCCCCGGGGGTCGCCCTTTAATGCCCCAAGAGGACCATCTCCTCCCACCTGCCACAGTAGCCCTTTCGGAACCCAAACCCTGAGGCCAGGAGAGGCTTTGGTGGCCCAGGACACAGGGGTGGAGGGAGGCTGAACTCGGATCTTCCAACTCCAAATCCCAGTTCCTTCCTTCTTAACCTCAGAGTACCCCAAGCAAAGCTTTCAGCATAAATAATACAGTAAACATATTGATTCTTCTGTTCTTTCAGAGACCCGCTAGGAGCCTGTGTTTCTCCCAGGTTTAAATTTCACTTTCTCATTTAGGTCTTGAGGGGGCTGAGTCCTCCGTTGGATCCCTTCTGCTGTAGGCTGAACAGTTAGGAGCAGAGCCCCTCAAGCCCCTGGGGCTTTCTGCAGCCCAGCTCCCCCCAGCTGCCCCAGCTCCCCACAGCTGCCCCAGCTCCCCCCAGCTGCCCCAGCCCTCAGGGGAGGCTGTGATGGGAGGCACAGCCTAAGAGTAAATGACAAATGTGCCTAACGTGAGGGGACAGCGTGACACGCAGGGTCAGATTCTGGTCTGGGCCCTCCTGCGAACTTGGTGTGACTCTGGCTTGCCCACTCACTCCTGGGGCCTCTGTGTGACCTTCTGAAAAGGGAGGAGGCTGGAGTCCCTGCTCCCCAAGGGCCTTGCTACCTCTGAAATGCTGCCTCCAACCCTGGGGGGTTTGCCTGTGAACATCCCGAGCTTCAGTGTGTGTGGGTGGGGGTGTGGGGTCACATGCCAGTTCCCCCCAGCTAAGCAGGCGCCTTCCTCTGGTCTAGCCCGATCCAGGGGACTCTGCACTGCAGGGTCTGAGGCCGAACCCTCCCAGTCCCCTCACCCTGCCTCACCCTCCTTTGGGGTGCCCTGTCCCCAGGGCCATGTGCAGCAAGGCAGGAGTCCAGGCCTGGAAAAGCAGGGGACCCAATGTCCCCTGGGCATTGCTTTCCCTTTGGGAGACGCAGACCAAGCGCGTTAGATTGGGCTCTTGGAGCTGACGTTTGCCCACTCTACACCCACTCACCCTAGTCTCCTCCCACTGGCTATGGCACAGCCCCTGCACTGCCCCTGACACTGCCCACTGCCGGCAAGCAGTCCCACTCTGCTCCCATGGTCCCCTGGCCTGCCTGCCCACCACATCGAGAGCACAGAAAACGCCTGCTGAGTGGCCCTGTGATGGTGACATGAGCTCTGAGGTGGACCCACTTCCTCCATGACCTCAGCTTCCATTCGTGCCCACTGCCTAGAAGACTTGGAGACCCCCAACTCTGCCGTCAGTTTTTAGGAGAAAACAAGGGGAGACGCCACAGTGGAGGTGGTCAGGGCCTGGTGGTCCATGGACTCCGCCTCCCACAGGTTTCTGGGGAGAACAAGGAGAAAAGTGCATCACCGAAGACTCTTAGAAAGGGAGGGGGCGCCGAGAGGGAGCTGGGAGTCTCTCCTCCTCTTTCCTTTTCGCCTCTCTCCCGTAGGCAGGGCCCATGGCCATCTTCAGGCTATGAGTTGTCCTTGGCTTGGTCAAAGCCCACTCCTCTCAGGCTTGCTGGCCGGGACAGTGGGCAGGTGAGGGTGGGGCTGGGGTGGAGGCCAGCATCTTGCCCAAGCATGAGAATCGGCAGCACCAGGATCAGGGCATTTGAGGTTGAGCTGACGGCTGGGGAACAGGGGCCTCCAGAGCCAGCCAGGCGAGAGGCTGCTCTGATTTCCCGGTGGCCCTCCTCACCTCCACCCTGCACCCTTTGCAGCCCTACGTGAGTGCCAAAGGCCCTATGCGGCCACATCCGTGTGTTCCTGTAGCCCAGCCCATCAGGAGTCAGCAACTGGGCACAACAGAGCCACACAGTGACACTGTCCAGGGCTGGTGACCAAGAGGCTGTGGTCCGATGAGTACAGAGAGAGCCTGGAGGAGGTGAACCAGCATGGTCACGCAGCAAGGGGGTCAGAGCGTGTGGGCCAGAGAGATGGGGCGGGGCAGCGAAGGACAAGGAAAGTCTAATTCGACAGAGAGCAAGGAGAGAAAGGGAGGGACAGGCAAGGAGGAAAAGGCAGGAGAGAGATCGCAAAAAGGGAGCAAGACCGGAGACTGAGATAAAGAACAAGCAAAAAACAGAGACAGGGAGGAAGGCGGAAAGACAGAGAGGCACGAGGAGAGGAAGGGACAGGAGGGGAAGAGGAAGAGACAGAAGAAGTCTGGTAGAGATGAAGATGTGAAGTGCACCGCGGACTGTGGTGGGGGCGGCATGGAGCGGCCAGATGCCACCCTCTCAGCCCAGGGGCGCTGACTCTTATGAGGCCAAGAAAGAGGCCTGGGTCCTCAGGGCCCCAGAACGGCCCTTGGTCCCTCTGAGTGCCATCCTGCTGCTCCCCAGGACTTGCCCCCATCTGTCGTGCACCCCACCCCTTCCCTGTTTCTGAACGCTGAGGTCCTGGCACCCGGCTTCCCACATCCACGTTCCTCCCAGAGCCTCTCTCTGAGTGCCTTCTGCCCCAGGGCTATGGACCAGGTCTCACCCTGCAATGGTGGGGGTGCTGGGAGGCCCAGGGCACTGTGGGGGCAGGCTGCCGCAGAGGCAGCGGGAGCAGCTGGTGAGGGTGGCATCTGCCCAGCCAAGCACGATGGCCTAGTTTCCAGCCCTTCACTCAGGTGACAAGCAGCCGTTCACTCACTCAAGTCTGCTGCTAAAAGCCCCGGTAGTGAGCTGAGAGCCTGAGAGCCAAGGACCGGGATGGGGGAAGCAGCCAGGTTGAAAAGTCGGCCCACAGAATGGGAGTTGAATACACCCCTCGTGGGCCTCGAAGCGGGGAGGGCTGCAGGGGTGGACACTTGGGCTGTGGAGCTGGAAGGGCCTCTCATCCAACATCTTCCAGTGTGTGCTCTCAGGACCCCACAGCGGAGTCATAAGGTGGTTTGTTAAAATGCAGCTCGCTGGACCCCACCCCAGACCCAGCAAATTAGAATATTTGGGGGCAAGTCCTGGGAATCAGCATTCTCTGCAAGATCTCCCGGTTGTTCCTAAATTGTGAAACCAAAGACTGAGCTGAGTGCAAGGGTAGGCCTCACTGCGGCTTTTAAAGTGAGTCCAGCAACTCACAGGCCACCAGGCAGCCGTCCTTAGGGGCATGTGTCCCCACCTGGCTATCGGGGCTGCTTTTGCATGGGGGTGGTGAGGGAGGGGTGGATGGAGGCATAAACAGATGTAGTTCTTCCCCTGGCTATGCACCTGCCGTCCTGCCTTCCTCCCCTCACTGCATTTGCCACCACAGGGTATCTGTGTTTCATGAACAGGTGCTATTCTGGGTTTCTCAGACCCTGGGGGAAAAAATGACATTTTCTGGCTGTGAAATCCCTAGCTGGAAGGGAGGAAGCTGTGCTGAGTGGTGGGACACTCTACCCTCCTGCCTGAGGAAGGCACTTCCTCACTGGAGAGCTGGGGGTTGGACCAGGTGACCTCTCAGGACTGGCACCCGGAGGCACGGGCCATCTCTGAAGCACTGCAGACGCTCCCAACGGCAGGGGGCAGACGACCCGCAGCAGCACTCCTGGCTGGCTGGTGGCTTCATCCCCACCCTCCTCTAGGGGGAATCACTGATCACTGTTTGCGTTCCTGATGGGGCCTGTGTCATCCTGGGGAAGGTGGCTGGGGGTGGGACTGTGCTGTCTACCATAAGCCCTGCTCATTCCAGGGTCCGTGTCCCCCTGGAAGCACCTATAAGCCTCGGCCCTCTACAGCATGAGCCTCCTCTGTTCACTCCCTGAGCATAAGCTTCTGCTTGCACCGTGCCCTCTTTTGCTCCCTCCCCTTCTCTCACTCTCTGTCCTGCTGCTTCTCTTATTTTGCAGTGTCTACCAGCACTCCTAATTCCCACTTTCCAGCCTTCTTTGCTGCCCTGGAATCCTCTTGGGGAGCTGAGTGTGGGCAGTTTACCAAATCCATGCTGCAGCCTCCACCCAGGGTGGCCTGGAGTCATCTCTCCTCATTGGTCATCTTTAAGGTAAAGAGCACCACACATTCCCGGGTGGTCTTTTCTGGTGTATCATCTCCCCATTTTACAGAAGACAAAACTAATGCCACGTAGGGCTGGCCCCATGCTCCCACAGCTAGGGAGAGCAGGCTTTCAGCTTCCTAATCTTGTGAGGCCTCTCCCTGCCCCACTGGGCTCTCTTCTCTTCACTCCTGTGTGTGTGTGGGGTGGCAGGGAGGTCCCTTACTCAAGTCGGGGGAGTTCCCTCTGAGCTCTCTGTACTGAGTATGGCTCTAAGTGCTTCACTATGTGTGCAATGACCTCATCTTCTCAAGCTTGTGCAATATGAACCATTGTACCATTATGTTTTTATTACATATGAGACTGAAGTACACTAGACAGCCAGCCCTACAGGCGTGCTGCACACATCTCATTCCTTGCTGACATCTCCTGGGGCAGGTGGTCCCCTGTGCCCTCCTCTCCCTCACCTCTCCCTGGCTCTCTGCTGCTCAGTGGCTGGCACTAATGCATGTCTTCCTAGGGGCTGTGATCTTACCCAGATGGCTTGGTGGGGACCTGTGAGAGGCCAAGGAGAAGCCCGTGGACACAGTTACACAGGAGAGCCTCTTGGTGCATGCGTGGGCAGTCAGCACGGGGGCTCTGTGGTCACCCTGCAGGTTCAGAGCTGGCCTGGGCACCTGGAGCCCACAGCAGGGTCCATATCGCTGACCTCCTGCCTTCCCCTTTCTGGTGCTTTTTGTGCCCTGTGGCAGTGGCTGGTTGACTCTTTCAGCAACGAGCACTGAGTGGCCCCGTGTGCAAGGCTGTGCTCGGGACCTGGTGTAAGTGGCCAGCAACACAGTCTCTGTCTTGGTGGGAGAGACAGGCATTGAACACAGAGTCAAAAATAATTCTTTACCTATAGTCATGATGAGTTCTATGTAGGGAAACGACGGTTCCAGGAGAGGACAAAGGAGATATATTTTATATTGTATGTCTGGAAAGGACTCTTTGGGGACATGGCATTTGAGCTGAGGCCTGAAAGATGAGTAGGAGGTGGCCAAAGGAAGGAGAGAGGGGAGAGCTGTCAGGTGGGCTAAGGGAGGAAGCATATGCAAAGGCTCACGGCAGGGAGGAGCTTCAAGGACCTAGGCAGGGTCCGCAAGGTTGCAGTGCAGACAGTAACAGGGAGAATGGTGACTGTGGGGCAGCAGCCAGGGCTCAGTCTGTCAGCTTTGTGGGTCATGAGAAGGATTTGGGAGTTTATCCTGAATGCACTGGGACACAATAGAGGGTATGATCAGAGGAGCGACAGGGTCCTGTTTGTTCTAAGAAGATTTCCCTGGCTGTTGGAGAGAAAATGAATGGCAGAGGGGCAGGGAAGAAGACAGAAGCAGGGGCCCAGTTAGGATGCTACTGCAGAGGTCCAAGCTACAGATAATGGGGCTTGGGCTAAGGCAGGAGCAGTGGAAACAAACTGAATGAATGATCCAGCTGCATCTTAGAGGAAGAACAGATGGGACTCGAGGTGCAGGGAATGTGGGAAGTGAGGAAAGGGAGGCATCACTGGTGCATCCTGGAGCTCTGGCTGGAGCACCCAGGGGCCTGGAGGTACCGTTCTCTAGTGTGAGTGTATCATGGTGCAGACACACGCTGGAGGAGAGACGGAGTCTCCATCTTGGGGCACACGAAGTCTGAGGTGTTCTTTCAGATAGCTACCGTGCCTCCCCTCTACTGAATCATCTCAGGAGAACCCAGGGGCCTGGAGGTACCATTCTCTAGTGTGAGTGTATCATGGTGCAGACACACGCTGGAGGAGAGACGGAGTCTCCATCTTGGGGCACACGAAGTTTGAGGTGTTCTTTCAGATAGCTACCGTGCCTCCCCTCTACTGAATCATCTCAGGAGCACCCAGGGGCCTGGAGGTACCGTTCTCTAGTGTGAGTGTATCATGGTGCAGACACATGCTGGAGAGACGGAGTCTCCATCTTGGGGCACACGAAGTTTGAGGTGTTCTTTCAGATAGCTACCACGCCTCCCCTCTACTGAATCATCCTCAGGAGCACCCAAGTGCTTGTCTTTTTCATCTTACAAATCAGAACCCTGCCTTGAGCCCTCGTTGCTCTCTAGACACTGCCTCTCTTCTCTCCTCTTTGCTGCCTCCACTTCCTCTTCTCCATTCACTCTTCAACCTGCTCCACTCAAGCATCCAACCCCAGGCACCATTAACACTTCTCTTGTCACGGCCATTGCTGGTTGCTATGTGGCCAAATCCAACGGCCTATCTCTGTCCTCATCCCAGCCCCTTGGCAGCATCGACATGGTTAATTGCTCCCTTCTGGAAACACCGTCTTCTTGGCTTCCATCACCCTCCCTCCCCAGGTGGACTCTTTCCTCTGGAGGAGCCCCTCATCCATTGCAGCTGCCCCTCCTCACTGACCTGAAACTGGGCCCTATCCCCCTCTCAACAACCACTGTCCAGGTGGCTGCCCCCATGCTAGTGGCTGCCCCCATTCCAGTGGCTCTAGCTAGCTAACAGTCTAACTTGCTTGAGTAAATATTTGACAATGTCTAGTTTGATAGATTCTTCAGATGAAATGTCCCTGAATCCAGCATCTCCCTGCCTCTGAAATGGAAAATCTGTACGTGTTTATTTGGTAGATGGAGTACCAACACAGGGGGCCTGAAGCACACGCGTATTCTGAATTCTCATCAGCTCGGAGACCACTGGCTGTGCGCTGGCTGCCTGGCTCCCTCCCACGTGGGCCATGGCCCTGCTGCTTCTCCACGGCCCTGGGCTCTGCCAACTTCTCCCCTCCCCATGCCCACAGCCGCAGTTTAGGGCTTCATCCTTTCTCATCATGGCTGTTAACAGCAGTAGCCTTCTCACCAGTCTCCCTGCCTCCAAACCATCTTCAGAGCCATCCTTCTAGGCTGCTAACTTGGCATCATAGCTCATGTCCCTGCTCACATTTCTCCCAGGGCTCCCCACATCCCTAGTGTGAAACCCAAGTTTCTCAGCAAAGCAAAGACGCCCTGTCTGCTTCCAGCTTCTCTCGCCGCTTCCCCAGCATGGTCCCCCCCTGCAGCCTGGCTCTCACGCCCCCACTTTGGTGCATGCTGTTATTTCTTCCTGCTGCCCAGCCCCAACCCTGCAGGTCTCTGTTTAGCTCTCATCCTCTCTAGGAGTCTTCCCTGACCTCCGTTGTCCCCGGAACCCACCTTCTGTCGACCATTGCGTTTATCTCCCTGTGTCATAACATTTGCCTGCCTGTCTTCCCCACGAGGCTACGGGCTCCTTCAAGATAGGGCAGTTATTTTAATCTCTGCCTCCCTGGTGTATGGGCACCCAATCACTGTTTTGTGGGATGAATGAATGAGTGAGTGAGAGATGACCAGGAATGACTGCATGCCGGCAGCTGGAGAAGGAGCCTCAGTGGCCTGTGCCTTTGGAAGTTCTACCCAACGGCCCAGGATTACTCAGCCTGCTTTGCTGCCAAGATTATCTGGAGCTGACACCGAGACCTGTGATGGACTTGCAAATGGCCCCGAGGCTTCCAGACTCCAGGCAGTGAGGCAGTGTGGAGGGCATAGGCCCCCTTCCTCCCACTGCACATGCAAGTGAGTGAGTGCTGAGAACTAGAGCAATGGGCACCGATTAGACCGCTTCCAGCCAGGCATGACCGGACCTGTCTCAGGAGGTGCTGCTGACGGGCGCGTGGATCACGAGTGGTACCGGTTTTGCTAAGGCCTCCCCCTCTTTCCTGTGAGCTTCTGCAAGGTCTGCAGCAAATACCTCACAAGCGTTGGGGAAAAAGGATGTATGTTCCCTGCCTCTGAAGAAACAGGTACAATCTTGCATAAAATTGCTTGTTAACATTGATCTGTGCGTGGAATCAGTTTGTGTTGCAGGGAAATGAAGCGTCCTACACGCCTGTGATCAAAATGAATTTCATCATCTCAACCTTCTTTTTTTTTTTTAATGATAGCAAGACAGTGTCTGGCAGACAAAGGAACTGGTTGGGAGCTGAAAATAGGTAATGGTAGCAGCAGGGATTTTTAATTGGCTGGAAGAGACGGCGAAGATCTGGAAGGTGAAGCCCTAGCTCGTGCTCCTGGCTGAGACTAAGCCCAGGTTTCAGGATTAGGAAGGAAATCTAAACCACCTATTGCCACGGAATGTAGAAACCCTGGCTTTATTTGGCAGTTGTTGGCTTCTACAATTCAATTAAAAATATCCCCATCCTCCAGAGAGTTATTTTATTCGTCAGAATTCATAACATGCTCAACAAAGGTCAAGGCGTTTTGGCAAAGTGCGATGCGGCTAAGAAAATAGAAGAGAAGGAAGCTGATGCAGGATCTGCCAGTGTTCCTGGTGATGTCATGAGGACGAAGAAACTCTCTTTTGAGGGGGCCTGGGTAGGGCTGGCTGCCACTCACACCTTGAGACTCAGGTACCCAAAGAACTAAGTTCAAACTACCCTTACAATTTAGAAGCCCTGAGCTGATTTTTCTTTTGCTGGGCTCGGCAGCATCCCTGTTTGCTGGTGGGTCTCAAACTGAGTGATGCATTGGAATTGCGTGGCGGGTTTATTAGTGCACGGATTGCTGGGCCCCGAGCCGCAGAGTCTGATTCAGTGGGCCTGGAGCGGGAACTGAGAGTTTGCATTGCTAACAAGCTTCCAGGTGAAGCTGACGCTGCTGGTCCAGGGACCACCTTTTGGAAGCACTGCTCTATGCCAATAACAGTGGGTGGATTAAGAAAAGGCCGTGGAGCTGTTACTTCAAGTCATGGAGCCTCTTGGTGGCTCATTTCCTCACCTTGAGAATGGAGACAACACTGAGAACATCTACTGGGCAGGGGTGTTATGAGTGTTAAAGGAGGCAGTGGGTGTGAAGTTCCTGGTATACAACAGGGCTTAATACATGATCATTTTCATTAGGTGTGGGCTGACCCGCCTGTCAGTGGACAGGACCCCTCCCTGCCCCACCGACTAATTCTGCCTGGAATTGTATCATTAGACAGCCATCCGTCGGCCCTTTAAGATATACATGCACCAGAGAGAGGAAGCTAAATCTGGCTCAGACCTCTTGAGACTTACGAATCAGTTTCTCAGCTGTGCTTTCTTCCCAAATTGAGAGGATCGGGGCATAGCAAATAACGCCAAGGTAAGAGGTGGGAGAGTACCTGATTTTGTTCAATTTCTCTGCCGCTGGCCAGGAGACTAGTCATTTCTTTTCCCCAGGGCCTCAGTTTCTGCCAGGGTAAAATGAGAGGGCTGGACCAGCTGATTGTCTAAGGGGTCTTCAGTGTCATGATTCATGATGGGGGACTGACAAGGACTGTGAGAGCAACCGGACCACAGGGGTCCTGGAATGACGCACGGAGGCTGGATGGTGCAGGGTTAAGGGCTCAGGTGATGAGTCATTGTGCCTGGCTTCAGACCTCAGCCACTGATCAGCTCTGTGACTGTGGGCAAGCTCCCCAACCTCTCTGTTCCTCAGTGCCTTCATTGGGTACAGATTAGCAGCACGTCCCTCCCGGAGTCGCTGTGAAGATGGAACGAGGTTTTGCATGTAAGCCTCTCAGAACAGCACCTGTGGCACACAGCACATGCTGATCTGTGTGAGCTGGCATAATATTTCACGGCCTGCTTGGTCACAAACGGCCCTCCTGGAGATATGACAGCCCTGCCCTGGAGACAGTGACACCCCGGAAGACCCTTCTAGAAGGCCCACGTCCGAGTGGCCTGTTGCAGCCACAGCTATCACACAGAGGAGACTGACTCCTCCAGAGCAAAGGCCTGAGTAGTCAGGGGAGGACTGGGTGGCAGGTAGGTCCATTTTTATATAAAAGTCCAATTTATATGCCAAAGTGACGAAGCCAAAGGGAGTCTCAATCCTGGACTGAAGGTCCCAAGGTCTCCAGCTACAGAAGTAAGTAGGTCTTAAACTCTCACAACTGTTGACTGTTCAGGAGAATCCCTTGTCTATCTGTGGTGGGAGTGGGGCAGGAGAGAGTGGAGAGGTGAAGGGTCAAGGCCATAACCCCAAAGACACCACTTTTGAAGATGTTCTCCTTCCAGCCTTCTGGTGCTGGCAGTGTACCGTTTCCAAAGCAGTGGAAATGACCCTAACTCTTCTATTCCTGCCTGCCTGCACTGGGTCTCTGTCTCTCTCTATCTATCTCTCTCTTTCTTCCTCCTCCCTCCCTCCCTCCCTTCCTCCCACTCTCCTCTCTCTCTCTCTTTCTCTCTTTCTTTCTTCTTTTTTGAGACAGGCTCCCACTCTGTTGTCCAGGCTTCCAGGCTAGAGTGCAGTGGCACGGTCACAACTCACTGCAGTTTCCATCTCCTGGGCTCAAGTGATTCCCCTGCCTTGGCCTCCCGAGTAGCTGGGACCACAGGTGCCCGCCACCACACCTGGCTACTTAAAAAAAATTTTTTTGTAGAGATGAGGTCTCTTTTGCCCAGGCTGGAGTGCAGTGGTGCCGTAAGAGCTCACAGTAGCCCTAACCTCCTAGGTTCAAGTGATTCTGATGCCTTGGCCTCCCAAAGTGCTGCGACCACAGGTGTGAGCCACAATCCCTGCCTGGGCCTCTTTTTATCTCCTCCGGACACATAAGGTCTGCCTGGGCCCCAGCCTGCTCTCCCCTTCCTCATGGGAATTCCTCAGGAATAAGGTAACTGAGATTATACACAGCAATGTGGGCAGGACATTCTCAAATGATTTCTTCCTAGCAATGAAAGGCCAGAGCCTTCCAGACTGTTGAATTTGACAGACAATCTGTCTTCATTTCTAAACGTCCTCTAAGAAGAACAAATCTGTTATACTCTGGCCAACATATTTCCATGGAAATAAAATAATGAAATCTGACCCAAACGTCAAACCCTGATATGTCTTGGAATTTAACAAAGGATGGAGCAGACGCAGTGGAGGGAAGGAACACCCAGGAAGCTTTCTTCCGGCAGCTCAACCCAGAAGCTGCCTTCCTGCATTTCATGGAGATGGTAGACACCAATGCTCTCCACGTGCATGGGATTCACACCAGAAAAAATCATCCAGGCCAGAAAGAGGCCGCTCACAGCCAGCATGGAACGTTCCCCATCCGCTGGACTTTAAACCTGCTGAAGCGAACATTTCAGAAAGGAAATAGAGCAGAGCCAAATTCCCCAGCCATGTGAAAACCGAGAGGGAGAGGCTTCCAGCCCTAGAGGGCCCTAGCTCTGGCTGCTGTCTGGCTCCTGCCGCTGGCCTGCCACCGCGTGACTCTCAGCTTCTGGACCGGGCTTCCTCAGGCTGCAGGATGCTCCCCAGATTGAGCTGACCCCCTTCCCAGCAAAGCCCAGCAAGTTCCAGCAAGTTCTCATTGTCTGCCTAGTAGACCTGAGTTTGAGTCATGTTTGAGGAGGTTTCCTTGTGCGCGGGGAATGGGATGGCGGGGAGTGGAGGGTTCTAATGTCTGTGCTTTTAAGTAGAAAAGATAATAATGAAATAGCTAACATTTAGCCTGTAGTCCCAGCTACTCAGGAGGCCGAGGTAGGAGGAGCACTTGGGCCCGGGAGTTCAAGTTGCAGCGAGCTTTGATCATGCCACTGCCCAGTAGCCCTGGTGACAAAGAGAGATCCTGTCTCTAATAGAAAAAGAAAAGAAAGAGCTAACATTTACAGATAACTTACTAAGCATCAGGCACTTCATGTACATTGAAAACGTTTGATTCATATGAGACAGGTACTCTTACCAGCATTTTACTAATGAGGAAACTGAGGCTGATTTCTTCTCTAAAAACAAACAGGCTGGGCCTAGTGATTCATGCCTGTAATTCCAGCATTTTGGGAGGCTGAGGTGGGAGCACTGTGTGAGGCCAGGAGTTTGAGACCAGCTGGGCAACACAGTGAGACCCCCATCGCTACAAAAATATTTAACAATTAGCCAGGTGTGGTGGCACATGCCAGTGGTTTCAGCTCTTCAGGAGGCTGAGGTGAGGGGTTCTCTTGAGCCTGGGAATTTAAGGCTGCAGTGAGCCATGGTTGCACCACTGCACTCCAGGCAACAGAGCAAGACTCTGTCTCAAAAAAACCAAAAGCGAAACCTTTGCAGGTAAACACTGGAATGGGTGTGGCTCTTTGAGCTCAGAATGCCTTCTATTATTGTCATTTGATAAGGCCTGGTAAGAATACATTCCTTCTTGGAATGTGTCTTCTGTGAAAATAAGATACAAAAGGATGGAGATGTCAGCTTCCAAGAGCGCTGAGGGCCGAATTCTGAAAGCAAATGTCACAGCATTCATGATGCTCAGACACAGACCAGCAGCCGAGGTGGCAGCTGCTCTCTCCCTCCTCTTCCTTTCCGCACAGGCCTGACGGTTGGGAAGCACACCCTTCCCCTCTCAGAGGCTTTCTCATCGGCTCTTCCTCATCGGCTGCTTCTTGGGAGAGTGCTGCGGTTTGGGCTGTTTTAGTCTCCAAGGGGATGGGTGATTTATATCCTTTTATTCGGCAAACAGCTTTGTACAGAATGAATACCGCTTGCTGAATGTCACCAGGCGGGGGCAGGGGAGCCGTATAGAATCCCAGTGAAGCCTTCCAGGCCTGGGCAAAATGGCACCTGGCGACTCGGTTAGTGTGTGTGTTTTCTCCGGCGGGAGTAAGGAAGACACAGTCAGAGTGGAAGGGAAATGCAAAGACTCCAGCGCCCCCCTCCCCTGCTAGTGCCTGCCACTTTCTGCTTCTCCATCTTCTCCTGCCCTTTGCAGGACAGGGCCCTCTCCACCTCGGAGAGAAGCAAGGCAGTCAGTGACCTATGGACTTCAGGGAGGGGCTCCTTTCTGTGGCGCTGAGTCAGCATGCCAGGCCTGCAGGGCTACACAATCAAGCATGAGGGATTGCGGCTTTCACCAGGGCATATCAGGGCTTAGCTCTGCACTCAACCTTGCCCAAGCCAGGGTTCCGGCTGGAGGCCCCTTGCTCTTCTCACTCTCTTTCCATGCTCCTGCTTCTCACCTCTCCCCATCCACACCTGGGTCTGTACGTTCCCTGAGACTGTGAGCCATGCCTCTTCACACACACACACACACACACACACACACACACACACACACGGGTGCCCAGCGTGGCCCCATTCTCAACACACAATAAATAAGTGCTCGATGTTTGTTGAATGAATAACAAATGGCCAACTCATTCCCCCATGAACCCTGGCACCCCAGCACTGCCCTGCATGAACCCTGGCACCCCAGCACTGCCCTGCATGAACGCTGGCACCCCAGCACTGCCCTGCATGAACGCTGGCACCCCAGCACTGCCCTGCATGAACTCTGGCACCCCAGCACTGCCCTGCATGAACTCTGGCACCCCAGCACGGCCCTGGGGCCTGTGGGCTGCTCTGGCAGGATGACAAATCATGCCCCAGTGTTTAGGGCAGTGCTACCAATGCACTAAGAGATGGGAAAGGTGGTAGATTCTCAGGACTTGGAGAAACTTTTGCAATCACATCGCCCAGCCCTCTCATTTTACAGATGAGGACACCGAGGCCCAGAGAGGTGTCCTGCCAAAGCCACACAGCACAGAGGAGCAGAGCCCGGGTCCAGCTATTTCTCCTATCTCACCACGCTGCCTCTTCTCACTGGAAGAGTGTACCAACGCGGGAGTCTGGCCCCTACCCATCCCAAGCCTGATCCCTACCTAAGGTTAGCCCAGCCCCCAGCCCCCAGCCCAGCTCCCCTCCTCAGCACAGGCTTGCAGCCACTGCTCCAAGCCTCCAGCCCACAGCCCATACACGCAGCCTCCCAGGGAAGAGGGCAATTAGTTTCCATTGTGCGACTCAGCACCACCTGGGCTGCAGGAAAACGCTGTGTTCCCAGCACTCCAGATCAATGTGGGCCTTGCAGGTTAGAATTTAGGGCGCAGGCCACATGGAGACTGGGAAAGACAGAAGAAAACAGACAACAGTCAGGGCCTGTGGGTGAAGCAGAGTCACTCCTGCCCCCAGAGCAGAGAGACAGCAGGGGTGCCTGGGGCTACGGGGCCAGCACCTCACCCTGGCTTGGGAAGGGATGGACTGGGACAACAGTGCAGGAAAGCCAGAGAGATGAGCCAACTAGGGGACACAGAAAAGGAAGGGCGTGAGGAAATGCCATCTCTCCCCTTCTGCAACCTAGATGTATCCTGGATCCCAGTAGCACCTCCATGGGCCCCCACAGCAGTGCTGGGGAAGGGAAGGGAAGCCGGAGGGAGAAGAGAAAGGAGGTGAGAGGGAGGCGCTGCCTAGCATTGTCTCTCTTTCCTCTTTGAGGTCCACAGAGCGTCTCCACCAGCAGCTCCAGGAGGGATGATAAATTGTCAAAAGCCACCAAGAGTCAGGGACAGGAACTCAGTTCTGCCCAGCTGAGGGCTGTGCAGGGATTTCAAGGTACCTGTGCGAACCCCAGCCCTCACTCATTGAACTCAGTCAGAAAACCACCGCGTCAGTGGATTTAGAAATGTGACAGGGATTTCAGAGGGCAATGGGTCCAGCCCTCACAACCCAGCACCACTCTGCAGGCATGGAAACGCAGGCCCAGAGGACAGGGGCTTCTCAATATGGGCACACAGCACCAAGACAGCTCCATAAATAGAAGTGAAATATCCAAGCTCCCACTCCAGGGAAGCTGACCACTGGGTGGATGACTCCCCCAGCGTCCAAACCCTCTCTGGCAGTCCCTTGCTGCTCCAGGAGCGAGGATGAAAGGGAGAGCTCTTCCCAGGGCCTCCGGGGAGACACTTCTGCTGACTGTCCCCAAGGAGAAAGAGGGGAGAGAAATGAGGGAGGGTCCCTGAAGAATGGAGACCTTCAAGAAGGAGGCCAACCTCGGGGACCAGTGGAAGCCAGAAAGAGCACGGGGGCATGGCAGGGGCTGAAGCCGATGTCCCAGGGAAGGAGTAGCTGCAAGGCCCCTCAGCCTCAGAGGAGCGCCAGCCCCGCCCTGCCATTCTGGACAAGGCATGAGTGTGAAGAGACTCTTGCCTGTCCACACTATCAAGGCTGAGCGGGGGCAAAGGCAGCCCCCTGGGGGTCCCCACCCTGCTACTGGACTTTAAAACCATTTTCTTTGGTTTTAAAGAAACAATTTTTCTTTGGTCATGATTTTGTTGGTAGATTTATCTTTATGGAATTGTAGTATTTTCTTGCTCTAAAACCCTCAGTTTAACCCCTTCTTTTTTCTGTCTCACATTTTTGCCTCCAGCGATATGAAAATGAACCTTGGAGAATGGGAGGGTCCTGGGGGAGGGGGGCTGAGGGGCTCTTCACCAGGCAGAGATGAACCCCAGTGCTGACACAAGCCCTTTCCTTTTCCTGGTTTCTCTTGCCCTGGAGAGTGACAGGCAGAAAGGGCTTTTTGTCTCTTTGGACCATTTCTGTATCCCTGCTGCCTCAAACGAAGCCTGGCCTGGGGCGAACTCAATCAATGACTCTGACGGGAGACAGGGCTCCGGCCCACTGGGGTGATGGGCTAAAGAGGGGATTCTGGTTCCTGTGGACAATCTGGAAGCTGGAAGCTGTTAGAACTGGAGCGAGGATTTCACCAAGGAGCTCACAGAGAGAGCCCGGGCAGGTGGGGTGTGGGAAGGAGTGGGGAAAGCCCGGAGTGTGGGGTACTCACTCCAGCACGTCGCGGTTGAACTGCTTCTTGCTGTTGCCCAGGAACTCTCCAATCATCTGGCGGCTGAGGCCCTTTCGCTGGAGGAGGAAATGGGCCACACCGATGGGGGTGTCCGGGATGAAGCCGCGTGAGATCAGGAACTGGATGCCCTTGTCGGGGTTTCTGGAGGTGGGGGTGGGGAGAAGCAGTAGAGAGTGAGCTGAAGCCATCCATGACTCTTTCCTCCCTGTCTTCCACCCATAGAAGTACCCAGAGGTTCTTGGAAATCCAGTTCCCCATTGAAGCTTCTCTCACCAGAGCCTCAACCCACTGAATGTCCTCACGCAGAGGATGGTGTGTGACCAGAAGGAGGACAGGGGAGATCTGCAAACAAAGTGAATTCCAGAGCAGATGGAGGAGAAGTACCCTTCTCTGTCCCTGCCTCCTGGGTCTTACCCCAGTCCTGCCCTTCCCCCTACCCATATCCTGTTGTCAATATGCAGGTCCCCACCGCAGACGCCCCAACCCTGGAGAGAGGGTGGGAGAAACAGAGGTGAGACCTCCGCCACACCACCTCTTCCCTTTGCAAGCTTTGAAGCCATGCTGCTCCCTGAGCTGTTCCTCACAGGTCCGGGAGGAGATAAGTACAGAAACACAAGGTAAGCACTGAGAACCTCCCATAGCATTTCGACATTTTCCGGGACAGCCAGGCATGTGATTGTCTTTCTAGCACCTCATTTTTATTGTATTTTACAAAAGTATTAGCCCACAATGTATTTTCAGAAGGGTGTGGGGGAACAAAACTGGTTCTTCACTATGGATAGTTTAAGAATTCCTGTCTTGGGGCAGATGAGTGTCTGTATGAGTTTTCATGTGCATGCAGAAGAGACACTGCAGAAGTGGGAGTGGTTCAGAGTCAGATCCGCCTTTCCCTAGGTCTGCCGAGTACTAGCTATTTCATCGTGTGCATTTCGCCTTACTGGTGTGAGCCGGCTTCTTTTCTGTAAAACAGCATGGTAATACCTCTGTGTAGATACTGCTGGAAGATTACAGATGCTTTATGTAAGGTGAGCTATGAACAGTAGCTACTTCCCCTAGAATAGGAGCCTCTTGAGGCCAGGGGATGTGTCCTTCTCACCTCTGTGGTCACAGTGCCTGGCACCCAATAAATAACAGCCGAATGAACGAATGAACACGCATTAGGGCCGGGGAGATGTGCTCTTGGCGCAGGGTTATGAAGGGGCGAGTGGAGGATGGAGGCGAGTGCCTGCCTCCTGGACCTGACATTTCCATGGGAGGGGCAGGTGTGCTTCCTTTCCTCTGCTTGGGACTGGCTGTATACATTCGGTGCAGGACCAGTCCCGGTCTCGCTGGGGTCTCTGAGCTATGGCGGTCGGTCATTTCTCCCCTGTTCTCTTTCTCCTGTGCCTCTGCCTGCTTCACACTCTCTCTTCCTCGTAGCCCTCCCCTCTCCTGCTCTCAGCCGGCATTCTTTACGAGGCGCCTCTCCTCCCTCCCCCACCCAGCCTCGCATTTCACCAACCCTGGGAGCTAATGCGTTTTCCCTGGCTTCATATCCACCCGAATGATTGCTGCGTAATCCTCAAACGGCCTGGACTGTTATTTACTTAATACTGTCTTTTCTTTTACATTCTCTTACTTTTCAAACCCTAGCTTCATCTTAAGCTGTAACAGTTGTGAAAGCATGTGTCTGATGTGTTATTTTTTTCCTTTAATCTTTCTTAAAATAAACTCAGGATGATTAAAATAAAATATGTACTTCCTAAACATGACCTCAGGGATCAGGCACGGCACAGATGCGCCTGCCTGGAGGACCCTGGCATGACGTGGGAAGTTACCTGGCGCCCTGCTTGGTGGAGGGAAGGTGCCCTCCTCCTTCCCTCCCTCCCAGGACGCCCAGGACTCCGGGCTGGGGGCCGGGGCTGACTTACATGTTGAAGAGGTTGAGGCCGATGCGGTAGAGCCGCTTGCGCAGGGTGTCGGTGGAGAGCGTGGGCGACTTGCAGCTGGCTGGGTTCTCGCAGTGGTAGCGCGGCAGGCTCAGGATCATGGCCTGCAGGGCGTCCTTGGAGGCGGAGGCCGACGCCTCCGAGCCTGACTTGGCGGACTTGGTGGACGTGCTGCTGCTGCTCAGCTGCTCCAAGTCGCCTGCCTCGGCCTCGGCCCCTCTCCCCACCTCCGCCGTCTCCTCCTCCTCCTCTTCCTCCTCTGTTTTGGGGGCTGTGGCCCCATCCGCCGCCCCACTAGCCGCAGCCTCTGCGCATGAGTCCTCGGCTGACGCGTCCTCCCGGCCCACGGCGGGGGCTTCCGGGGCCTCCCGCCCAGAGGTCTCGCCCTGCTCGGCCTTGCCCGCCGCGGGCTCTGCGGGGGCCTGGACCGTCTGAGCGCCCAGGCAGTTGGCCACCGACAGAGCCGTGGAGGAGGAGACGGATATGTTCTGGTTGGCGATCTGCACCGTGACGTCCCGGAAAGCCATCATGAGGGTCCCGCTGTGGGCCGGGGGCAGGCCGGGGGTCTCCGCGGCGTCATCCCCGGGCCCGGGGCCCGCGCTCTCCGGCGCCCGCCCCTCGGCCTCCAGGCCTGGGGGCCCCGCGGCCGCCTGCAGGGCCTGGTGGAGCTGGTAAGCGCCACTCTCCCGCAGGGAGCACATGGTCTTGAGGCTCCACGTGCTGAGCGCGTCGTCGATGGACTTGGCCAGGGATTGCACCTGCTCGGTGAAGGAGTCCTCCAGCTCGGTGAGGGTGCCTGCGAAGGTGGGCGGCAGGGAGGGCGAGCGCACCAGCGGCAGCCCCACGAGGCCGTAGCCCTCCATGAGCGCTTTCTCGGCCGCCAGGCTCTCGGCCGTGGGTGACCGCACCTTGCGCAGGGAGATCCGCCGTGGCAGGCGGCTCTCCAGAAGCGAGTTGCGGATTTTCTCGAAGTTCTTGCTGAGCTGGTATTGGCGGAAGGCGGTTTGGATGGTGCAAGCGGCGCGCCGGGACACCAGGTGACCGCCGTACTTATGTTCTAGCATTTCAATCTGCAAGGACGAGGACAGAGAGGAGGAAGGGCTCAGAGGGGAAGGGTGGTCAGCCCTTCTGAGGAGTGGTGGAGTCACCCGGCCACACTCGGGTGGGGCCCAGGAATGGACGGGGGCGGGGGGGCGCTCCTGGGCAGCTAAAGTCTGAACCGCCTAGAACGTCCTGGCCACGTGGCAAGACTCCTAGAGGTGTAGGACGGAGGGGTCCGTTCTGGGGACTAGTGATGTCTCAAGGGCCAGGAGGGAGGTGCTGCATATGGCGTTCAGATATCGATGCTGTGGCGGGTATTACAAAATGTTCATGGCCGGGCGCATTAGCTCAGGCCTGCAGTCCTAGCATCTTGGGAGGCTAAGGAGAGAAGATTGCTTGAGCTCAGGAGTTTGCGACCAGGCTGGGCAACATAGCTAGACCTTGTCTCTCTCTTGAAAAAAAAAAAAAAATTAACTGGGTGTCCTGGTGCGCGCACGCCTGTGGTCCTCAGCTACTGGGAAGGCTGAGGTGGGAGGACTGCTTGAGCCCAAGGAGTTGGAGATTACAGTGAGCTATGATTGTACCACAGCACTCCAGCCTGGGCAAAACAGTGAGACCTTGTCTCTGTTTTTTTCTTTTCTTTTCTTCTTTTTTTTTTTTTTTTTAAGTTCATGTCAGAGATGCATACAGAAGTACTTATGGGTAAAATGCATGATATCTTGAAGTTGTGTTAAAATATTCTGTCAAAAAATGTGGAAGAGTTAGATGACACAATATTAATGTTAATAAATATTAATAAAATGGTTACAGCTGGATGATAGCTACGGGGGAGTTTATAACACTGTCGTTTCTACTTTTGTGCACACTTTAAAACAATAAACAATGAAAAACAGAAATGCTAAAAAACCTCACAGCTCCTCGTGCTTCCCCGCTCCTCCCCTAAACAATGAAAAACATAAATGCTAAAAACCCTCACAGCTCCTCGTGCTTCCCTGCTCCTCCCCAGCAACCATGTCTCTGTGTTGGGGTGGCTCCTTTCCCTGGGAACATCAGAAGGGTCGGGATTGGGGTTGGACCATCTGTGTGTTCCCAGTACATAGTTAGCTGCTCAGTAAACGTGGATTTGCTAAAAAGTTGAGTGGGTGTCTCAAGAATGGGGGTCCCTCCAGGCCACCATTACCAAGAGTTCCCCAATTTGAGTCACCTCTGCTCTTACGGTGGGAGCTGTCCAACCAGGGCAGGGCTGGGTGGGGTGGGCTCGGGGGCATGGCACCTCACCTGGGCAGATCTGATCCCAGGAAAACTTCTGTCAGGGGGCCAGCGTGCCTCCTCTCGGCTCTGTCCTCCTGTCCGTGGGTTTTCTCCTCTCAGGTTGCTACGCTCTCACTTTTCCTCCCTATGGAAACTTCTCAGGAAAGGACTGGGGAGGTATGACAGCCATGCCCCCAGAGGCTTCTGCCTTTAAATAAGGGACAAGGCCTGTGTGAAGGTGATGGGCTTAAATGGTGGCATCCTAGACTCTGATCAGCCCTCAGAGAAGTTTGGGAAGTGCGAGTGTTTCCTATTCACAACCAGACATGCCACTTACACGTGGTGTCCTTCCCGAATGAACGAAGAATCGGGATGGGTGCGCTGAGATGAACGACTCAAGGCAAGAACAGGGACGTCCCGTGTTCTCCAGGGATCATGGGTGGGGAGGGTACAGATTGTTCTCCAGGGATCATGGATGGCGAGGGTACAGATAGAAAGGCCATACTTCATCCCTCAGCACAACACTTCAACCTGCTTCCTGCTCCACTGGAGCCCCCAAAGGCTGCAGCCAGAATGAATGCCTGCCTCCCACAGCCCAGCCGTGCCCTCTGCTCCCTCCCTGCAGGGTGTGATGGGTGCCCCATTCCACGCTAGCAGAGGTAGCCTCTTAGCTCAGGACACCTTGTGGATTCAACCCCAATCCCCAAGGACAATCCCAGATAAAATGAGACATCCTTAGTGCTTGCCTCCAGTGCTTCCAGCCTGGCCATTCCCATTCCCCATTCCCAAACCTGGGGACATCATTCTGTCTCCCCCAACATCCAACTCTACCCTTGGAGATCGTTGGAACTCACGCAGATTAATGTGTAAATGGCAACTAAGCCTTCCTATATGGCTTCTCCCAAAGTTACTTGCATTTCATGAGGGACAAGGCCCTGAGCAGGAGGAAGCTCCCAGTGCTATCACAATCCCCCTATTGGAGGGGTCTTCAAGGTGCTCTAAACCACACCAAGTGTATTCCTCATCTATTGCTGTGTAACACATGACCACAAATCCAGCCACTTAAAGTAGCACCTGTTTATTTCTCATGCAGCTCTGTGAATCTAGTCTGGGCACAGCTCATCTGGGTTATCTGCTCGGGATCTCACCAGGCTGAAACCAAGATATCAGTCAGGGCTGCAATATCATCTAAGGTGTGGGGTCCTCCTTTGAGCTCGCTCTTGTTGGCACAATTCAATTCCTTGTAATCACAGGACTTAGGCCCTCAGTCACTAGAGGTTGCCTGCTGTCCCCTACCATGTGGCCTGCTTCATAACCTGATAGCTTGGTCCTTCAAGGCTAACGGCACAGTGTCTGTCTGGGGCTTCAGCTTCATTTATAGGGCTGACCTGATTAGCTCAGACCCACCCTGGGTGATGTTTCTTTTTATTAACTCAAAATCAACCAATTGGTAACCTAATCATTGGAGTGATGTCCCATCACATTCACTCATCCTGCCCATACTCAAGGGAAGGGGATTATATAGGATGTGTACACTAGCATGAAGGGGACTTGGGGGCCATCTGAGAATTTTGCCCACGGTACGAACTGGACACTTCCCCACTTGATCTTTACTAGGTATGACCTCATGCACCCATAAGAGACACAGATACTTGCCTCTGAGGCATTCTGTTCCTGCTCCTGTGGAAATAATGTAGCTTGGCTCATTCTCCCTGCTGAACTTTGACACATTCCCTGAGGCCTGGAATAGGGACTTGGCTTTGGCTCAGGCAGGAAAGTCCTTCCCCAAGGGGAAATGTAGAGAGGAAGGGGAACTGATCACTAAAATGTCTCCTTTTCTCTCAATTTCTGTCTGTCAGCCCTATTCAAGCACCATGAGAAACTGACAGATTTCACATTTCTTTTTTTTTTCTTTGAGATGGAGTCCCGCTCTGTCACCCAGGCTGGAGTGCAGTGGCACGATCTCGGCTCACCATAACCTCCGCCTCCTGGGTTCAAGCGATTCTCCTGCCTCAGCCTCCTGAGTAGCTGGGATTACAGGTGTGCGCCACTGTGCCTGGCTAATTTTTGTATTTTTTTAAGTAGAGACAGGGTTTTGCCATGTTTGCCAGGCTGGACTTGAACTCCTGGTGCCTTGGTGATCCGCCCACCTTGGCCTCCCAGAGTGCTGGGATTACAGGCGTGAGCCACCGTGCCCGGCCAGATTTCACATTTCTTTCCCGTCTGGCCTATTTATACCCCACCTTGGCCTCCCAAAGTGCTGGGATTACAGGCATGTGCCACTGTGCCTGGCTAACTTTTGTATTTTTTTTAGTAGAGACAGAGTTTTGCTATGTTGGCCAGGCTGGACCTGAACTCCTGGCACCTCGGTGATCCGCCCACCTTGGCCTCCCAAAGTGCTGGGATTACAGGCGTGGGCCACTGCGCCCGGCCAGATTTCACATTTCTTTCCCGTCTGGCCTATTTATACTTCTAGGAAAACCCCAGGCCCAAGAGCATCCTTTTGCAGCACGAGATGCTGTTGGCAACACAGGGAAGGTATGAAATCCATTGCTTGAGATGCTTCCAAAATGGTGATGGGGTCCATGCCCTTGGCATGGTATCATCCTGCTTGAAGGCAGAAGACCAGCTGACATAACCCTAGGAGACTCCGTGTACTACTGGGCAATGTCTATGCTTCACCCAAGCAGGAAAGAAAACCAGATTTTAAATTCTTGCATCTGTCCCATCACATCCTCTACTAGACATCAAGTCCCACGAGGGCAGATTTCACCTGCCGTGGCCACTGCTATCTCCTCCAATGCTTGGACAGTGCCCAGCACATAGTGGGCCTTCAATGAGTGTGTATTCGACAAATTAATTCCAAAGTTATATTTGTGACTCTCAAAAACCTTCCTAATCTGACTCAGCAGACGCTCTCCCGCTCCTGCCTCCTTTGTGTGTTCAGCTCACCCTACACATGCTCTTTTTACTCCCATTTCCTTCGTCCTATCTGCAGCTTTGCACCTGGCCACAGATCTCCCCAGGCTACAGCGTAACTGCTGACTCCGCTGCCGCTGGGGCACTAGCCTGTTCCCTTTCTTCCTATTTTACACTGAACCTCCAGAACAATAACCTCTGCCTCACTCCAGGAGCAAATGCCAGATACTGACCCAACCCTGCCCTAGCCTGTTCCCTTTCTTCCTATTTCACACTGAACCTCCAGAACACTAACCTCTGCCTCACTCCAGGAGCAAATGCCAGATGCTGACCCAACCCTGCCCTAGCCTGTTCCCTTTCTTCCTATTTTACACTGAACCTCCAGAACACTAACCTCTGCCTCACTCCAGGAGCAAATGCCAGATACTGACCCAACCCTGCCCTAGCCTGTTCCCTTTCTTCCTATTTTACACTGAACCTCCAGAACACTAACCTGTGCCTCACTCCAGGAGCAAAGGCCAGATGCTGACCCAACCCTGCCCTGAGCCCTGTGCTCTGGGTCCTGCTGCCTCCCATCTCAGTCAAGGGCGAGAGATGTTAAACTCATCCAAGGCCAACCAGCAAGGAAGAGGCAGATCTGGGGCTTGTCACTCAGCCCCAGGGGCCTCCTCAGCCTCCCTCCTGGCTCCTTTCTGCAACTCTCCCCAGTGCTCATGACTCAGTCTATCCTGGTTGTCCTGTCTCCCTACAACCCCTTAATCCTGTATTCTGGCCACAAAACCCCTACGTGTGCTGATTACGAGTCACATGGGTGCCACTGCCAGTCTCCACACGTTTTAATTTTCCCCGTACACTCTGGACATCATCCACGGCTTCTGTGTTGGACATCATCAGAGGAGCCCGTGATGGGTGATAATTAACAATGAATTAAGAAGGGAGCTGTGTCAGTCAGAGCCTTCCAGGTCACTGTAAACGTGCTCCCCAGGTGGATACCTTCTCAGCCCTGTCTGCCTTCCCTCTGAGGACCCAGTCCACTCTCTTAACTTCTACTTTGATGGGCCAGTGAGCAAGTGGCAAGTAAGGGGAATGGCCAGCCCCAGATCCCAGCTGATTGGACTTGGATGAATTTAACATCTTTGACTCTCAGTTTTCATATCTATTAAGTGGGGTTTATCCTGCTGACCCTGTATCTTCTTGTGAGGATTAAATTATTTCATGGAGCACCCAGCAGAGAGCAGGAGCTTCATAAGTGGTAGCTGCTTAATGGTGACAGTGACAATGATGGGAATGACTCTCAAGCCTCCATACCTAGCCTTGATCCTAGACCCACATTTCCAGCAGCCTGTGTATCCTCTGTCCATCTAGGCTATGCCACTGTTTTCCCTACCTCACCCAAACCAGCTCTTGTTGACTTCCTTATTGGCCTGACAAGCACCCAGCCTGGGAAACTTGCCTTGTCCTGGGGTTTTCGTTTGCCCTGTCCACTGTGTTTGTCAGCCTCCTGTAGCTCCTGGGACCCCCCACCCCTATACCTTTTGCAATCATCCATGATATCCTTCCAGAATGTCACCACGTAGGGCTCTTTTTCTTCCCACTTGGACCATGCCAGCAGCATCCTTACTATCTCTGTGTCCTTCTTACTCCCACCATCACCTTACACTGCAGAACCAGACCCAAGCTCTCAGACAGCAGGTGTCAACACAGGCTTTTCTTTGTTTGAGAACCATTGCCCCAAACAGATAAAAACGCTTCTTCCTGGTTTTCCAACCCTAACAATCTGGCTGGGCCACAAAGTCCTACTCCACAAAGTCCACATTGCTCAGCAGCTCCTGCCTGCTCTCCCCCGACCGCCCCCACGAGGCTCCCTGCTTGGGGACTCATTTGTGTTCTCTCCCAGCCTGCAATGCTCTCCCCAACCTCAACTCCCAGCCTCCCCTTTCCTCCAGGTAGAAATGTCCTCTTCTTCGAGACCTATCTCAAATGTGTCTCCTCCATGCAGCCCTCTCAATGCCCCGAACAGACGGGGTCTCCCTGCCTCGGGCCCCAATTTCTCTTTGACACTCAGTCTCCTCCACTAATCTTTGTGGCATTTCTCCAACCCATCCTTCCCTCCCTTTCCCTCCCCCAGGCTCCAACAGAGCATAAGTTATTCACGGCATCAAATATGTCTTAGTCATCCTGTCCAGCACCGAGCACCTTAACTGGCATGGAGCAACTGCTCCCTGAATAACACTGGAATTCAGTTCCGGGTTCACCATCGTGTGTCCTAACCCATTTATCAACCAACTCCCACTGATCCCAGAGTTGGGCCTGCCAGGCCCCCAACCTGCACTGTCCCCTACACCTTCCTCCCCACCCTCAATGCTCAGTGCCACCTTCCTCCCCACCCTCAATGCTCAGTGCCACCCCCTGCTCAGAGCTCTCGCTGCGGACTGTCCATCACAGGCAAGACATCTGTCTCTGCATCTCTTGTGCCCAGTGCTGTGCCAGACCTGTGGCTGAGGCTGAATAAGTGTTTGCAGACATGAACTAAACTGAATTCTCTCTTGTGACCCCAGGGAAATCAAATTCCAGACTCTTGTCCAGGCCGGGGCTTGGAACCCAGCACTCCATCCTTCCTCCCACCCTGGCATCCTGGCAGGACCTGGGGACTCAGTAATGGCCCAGGTCAGCTCCATCCATGACAGCGAGGCCCTCCCGTCTACCCCAATCCCGTTCTGAACCAGGGCCAGGTCAGAGAGCAGAGAGAGGTGCGGGAGGGTAGGCAGCCCCAGGGAGTGGGGGGTCTCTGGGCCTGTAGGCCAGGGAGCAGCTCTGCTCACTTCCCTCTAAACCCCAGGAACCAGGAGGAATGATGGCCTCGCCCCCTGCCAAGAGAGCAATTTCTCAGCTTCTGCCAGAAGAAGCAGCGGCAGGGGCGCGGGGGCCTCCGTCTCTCTAATGAGCCTCTCAGTGTTAATTAGAACGTGCCCCCTTCTTTCAGGTTGCTGTGGCAGCTGAGCCTGAAGAGGCCGCTGAAAGATGGCGGCCAAGCCAGAGGGTGGGGAGGAAGAGCCGCTAGCTGGGGGGCACAGTGCTGAGGAGCGGGGGCCAGGTGTGGGGAGGAAGAGCCGCTAGCTGGGGGGCACAGTGCTGAGGATCGCGGGGAGGTGTGGGGGGCTTCCAAGGGTTTGTTCCCATCCAAGACTTCCCAGTTGAGACCATGAAAGCACAGCATGTTGTGAGCCTCCAGAACTTGGCCTGGCGAGCCCGGGTGTGAGGCTGAGGAGCAGAGAGACTGGGGAAGCTGGTGCTTTGGGGGTGTTCAGAGAGGCCCACAGGAGCCTTGGGTCTGTGCTGGGCAGGGCTGTGGCCTCCTGCAAGGCAGGGGACTCATGCCTGCTCTGTGTGCCCTCCTCCCAGCCTGCTGTCTGGAATACAGCAAGTGCTTGACACGCAGGGCGTTGAGGCCTGCCTGGGAGTGGGCAGCCAGGTAGGCATGGGGGACACGCTATGGCTCAGCTAGTAGTGAGGTCATGAGACCCTCCAGTGGGGCTGCCCCAGGAGCTGGCTCTGATCCCAGGTTGGGCTGCCTGCCCTCCTCATGCTCCACAGACCCTGTGTGCCACTTCCATGGGGCCTGTTCCTCACTGTAATGCCAAGAGATGGTGGAAGGTACAGGGTCGAAACCATGGGCTGCGGAGTCCATGTCTTGGCTGCATTACTTCCTAGGACTGTGTCCTTGGGCAAGTTACTTAACATCACCATCACTCAGCCTTAATCTTCCCATTCCAGAAATGGGACGGTAATGGTGCCAATCTCACGGGGACGTTGTGCAGACCCGGGGAGATAACACATGGCAACCGTTAGCCTGGGCCTGACACAGAGCTAGTGCTCAGGTAGTAACACTGGTGCTGGCCCCGTGTCTGCCCACCACTGGGCTGTGGGCACCCTGATGACTAGGCCTGTATCTTTTGCATCATAGCATCTCCAGGCCTAGCACAGGGCCTGCGACAGAGCAGCTGTGCAGTGCTGTTCCCTGAACTGAATGAACCGGGGAGAGGGACAACCCATGGAGTGCCCTGTCCTCACCACTGTCCTCTGTAGGCTGGTGCCCTGGTGCTCTCTGTGCCCATGGTAGAAATCTCACTTTCAGCGTGGGAAGGGGCCAGGAGGCCCTCTGGTACAGCCTTTGGTTCACACATGAGGAAACCAAGATGCAAAGAGGGAAAGTGACTTAGAAACATAGCCACCACATCTTCCTGAAGAGGTGCCCCATAGTGAGGCTGGACCCTGAGGCTTGGGGTATGGGGATCTGTGGGGAGGGGCTGCTCTCCAGCAGAACATGGCTTCTGTCCAGGACCCGGCTCGGGGAGCAGGGCCCAGATTCTACTGACTGCAACTCCACAGCCCTCTGGCCTGAGCAGCCCAGAGGGCTCTGCAATTCAGATGGCTAAGAAGGGCTCCAGTCGCTCTGCAACAGGACACAAACTCCCTAGAGGGCTTGGAGGAATTTCAAAATGACACCTAGGCCCTCTATTCCTAAAGGGCTCCCCAAAGGGACCTGCATGCTCACTCCTTGGCCTGCCCTAGGTTGTATCCCCCAGGACTGCTGGGGTGGGGTGAGAGGGTCGAAGGCAGAGGGAGAAGGGGAGAAGAGCTGGCAGGAGGACCGTCTTGCTGTGCGACTTGTGACAGGTGCTGGGGAAGGGGCCAGCAGGGAGAACAGGAAGCTGGAGGGTAGGCCTCGTTTGCTCATTCACTTGTGCCTTCATTCCTATGTTCCTTCCCTGCTGAGCAGTTCCTAGGTGCCCAAGACTGTGCAAGGTGCAGGGCGGCAAAGATGGGCAAGGACAGGACAGTTCCCAGGGCACAGCTCCAGGAGCGCTGGCTCTTCACGTGGGCTATGCAGCACCCTGGAGGTGTCCCGAGCACCACCTGCTCAACTCCACACAGCCCTGAGAACAACATGGTCCATGCTGTTGAGCGGAACAGCTCCCACTCCCAGACAGCACAGAGGAGGCAACAGGCAATGGGTAAAAGCACGTGCCTCGGCTGCGACCTGAAGTATGAGCAGAAGTCTTCCAGATGCAGCAGATGGGGTCGGGGACAGGTGAGGAGAATCCCCAGGAGAGGAAACAAAGCCACACAAAAGCCCAGAGGTGAGGGTGGCTTGAGATTCGGGACAGCAAATAGGAACGGCTGGAACCCCCATGGGGCTGGGACTGTGGCAGGGAGCCTGGAGAGGCCTCTGTCCTGCACACCGTGAGGAGCCATCAGAGGCTTTCCCGAGGATCAGCGCGGTCAGAGGTGCACTTTAGGAAGATGATTCAGCTGCAATGTGGAGGTGAGGTTGGAAGGGACAGAGCTCAAAGAAGGGGAAGCACAGGAGGTCTCCCGGCGTGCAGGCAAGAGGAAGGATGGCCTGGCCTCCTGGGGCAGGGGCACTGGGGAAGGCAAGAGAGGGTGGGATTCGGGAACTGTTAAGAGGCAGCATCAGTGGGGCTTGGGGCTAGAGCAGAGGCGAAGGAAGGAGAACAGCCAAGGAAAACCGTCCTGGGGATCTGGACTGGCTGACAGAGGAGGCTTGGCGGGTCGGTGGGCTGGGGAGCTAAGATTGTCCAACACCCCTCCCAGGCCATGGAACACGGGATTCAGTGTGGCTGGCGGAATCACTGGGTTGGAATATCAAGTGTTAGATCTCAAAGAGACCTAAGGCAGAGTCAGTTCCTGGCGCCATGCTGTATACCCATCCCATCCCCCTTTATGTCACTAAGTGATCATTTCCCGTCTCTTATCCTTCCAGCAGCTTCTTCGCCAGGCACTGCATTAAGCACTGAGAATATAATGAGGAACAAGTCATGCACCTGCCTTCAAGGAGGGGGTCAAGCAAACAGGAAATGCTGACACAGGGCTGAAGGGCTGTGACGGGGACACCCGGGCCCTGTGGGATGACTGAGAGGGACACCCAGTGCAGGCTTGGGAGGCAGGGAAAACTGCCTGAGAGGAGGAAGAGGTACCTAAAGCAAGTACTAAAGCAAGAGAAGGCCAAGTGCAGGGGTGTGGAGGGGAGCGGAAACTTCAGAGATTGAGGCCAAGGGAAGAGCCTGTGAAGTCCCAGACATAGGAGGCAGCTGAGGCCAGAGAAGTCAAGCAACTTGCCCAAGGCCATACAGCTCATGGCAGAAGAGAGAGGAGTCGAGTTCAGTCTCCTATAGATGTGTGCCATGTTCAACAAAAGCCAAAGTTGACAAATGGGATCTAATTAAACTAAAGAGCTCCTGCACAGCAAAAGAAACTACCATCAGAGTGAACAGGCAACCTACAAAATGGGAGAAAATTTTCGCAACCTACTCATCTGACAAAGGGCTAATATCCAGAATCTACAATGAACTCAAACAAATTTACAAGAAAAAAACAAACAACCCCATCAAAAAGTGGGCAAAGGACATGAACAGACACTTCTCAAAAAGTGGGCGAAGGGCCTGAATGTCTTATGCTAGTGCTGTGGGGTTTTCGAAGCTGGGAGCAGAATTTTAGATTTTTCCACATTTCATCCGACTTTTTTTTTTTCATTAAAACCATCCTTCTGTCCTGATGAGGTGTTTTTTGTTTTGTTTTGTTTTGTTTTGAGACAGAGTCTCACTCTGTCGCCCAGGCTGGAGTGCTGTGGTGCAATCTTGGCTCACTGCAACCTCCGCCTCCCGCATTCAAGGAATTCTGCCTCAGCCTCCTGAGTAGCTGGGATTACAGGCATGCGCCACCACGCCTGGCTAATTTTTGTATTTTTAGTACAGACAGGGTTTCACCATATTGGGCGGGCTGGTCTCAAACTCCTGGCCTCGTGATCCACCCGCCTTGGCCTCCCAAAGTGCTGGGATTACAGGTATGAGCCACCACGCCTGGCCCCTGATGAGGTTTTTACAAAGTCTGGGATGCTATCACCAAGGTATCAGCTGTTCTCTTTCAGCTTTATGTCATCAGAAAGCCAGGTGAATGTAACTTGTATGCCTCAAATTGGTGCCTTATCAGTGACCTGGACAGCATGTCCACTCAACTCCCTGGGATTTTTTTTGATGAATATTTTTTGGATAATTCGGTTTGAGAACAACCCTCCTTACTATATTGTTAGTAATCCACACATTCCTGGCATGTGCACATAGGGTATCTTGGGGGATTTGGTCAAACACTTTACTGATGTGCTGCCTACAGCTGGCCTGAGCCAGGATATGAGCTTGGCATCAATGCCAAGAGAGGAAGGAGGTTAGTTTGGCTTGACTCAGTCTTAGTGGCCTTCCCACTAGCTTCCTTTCTGAAGATACCTTGCCTATTGGGTTGAAGAATTGTTCTCTAGAACCTACACATTTTGGGGCAGAAGGGACCTTGGAGGTGATTCAAAGTTAATTCTCATTTTTTTGCAGATGAGGAAACGAATGCCCAGAGGGTTTAACTGGCAACTCCCAAAGTCACTGAGTTCATAGGAGGAAGAGCGAGGACTGGATCCCATGTCTACATCTCCAAGTTCAAAGCTCTTTCCTTAACAGTATCACACCATCACACCTTTCTCTAAGCGCACACACACACACACACACACACACACACCTTCCATCAAGACTCTTGTCTGCCAAGACAAACTGAGGCATTATCTTTTTTGGGGGTTCAATGGGGGCCCCACAATTGGCCACTTTCTCTTCCTGAATGGAAAATGGAGGCCCAGGCCCCTCCATGGAATCTGTTCTCCAATAGAGGAGCTTTGGACTCCCCCAGTCTGGACTGATCTTGGGAATCCTGTCTGCTTCGAGGAGACCATTGTCTTTGTGCCTCGTTTGTGCCTGTGGGTGCCTAACACCGGCTCCCTTGGTGGGCGTGGAAGCTGGACTATGGCCTCTAAGCAGCAGATGGAGGTGGGGACACCCCAGAGAACAGTGGGCTCCTTGCCTAGTGGTCAGTGGGGCGGTGGAGGCTTGCTGAGCACTGTGTGAGGAGCAGAGCCCCTGGACGTGCTGCCCAAGGGCCTGGCATTGCGAGGGTATGAGCCCTGCCATGGTAGAAGGCAGAGGCCTGTGGCTGGTCCAGGGAAGGGCAAACTAGGTCGCTCAATGCAGGAGAACTGTGGCAAAAGAGGTGTGCCTGTAGCGGAGGGGACCCAGCGGGGATATCCCTGGTACCCTCGACAGCCCCCAAAGCAGGGCCCCTTCACCACCCTCCCCGCCCCCCTAGGAGGCCCTGGGTACCTGTTTATTCTTTAGGTCAAGGGAGAGTTCGTAATCGGAGGCGGCAGGGGCGTGGGGGCACAGCGCCGTCGCCAGGGCAGGCTGCTGCCGGCCGGGGGAGGCCTTGTGCTGGGGGCCAGCCCTTGGGGAGGCAGCCCCTGCCCCCGGCCGCTCCTCCTCCTCCTGCAGCTCCTGGGCTTGAGCCTTCGGGGCATGGGCACTGGGTCTGCCGGCTGCCACCGCCGCCGCTGCCACCACGGAGTCCTCCATGCCCCCACCGGCCTGGGTGCAGGAGCCATCACTGTGAACAGAAGGCAACGGTGCTCGGTTGGGGGAGAGGGCGACAGGGTGCGTGTGGATGTGGGGGTCGGGGAGAGAAGCTAGGCACTCTGGCCTGCCTTTCCTGTGGCAAGGACTGGAGGGGGTGTCTTTCACAGTCTCCTCTAGGGAGGGGCTACCATGGCAGGGATGAGCCCTGGGCACGGAGAAGAACCCGCACCTGGGGAGGCAGCTCAGACAGAGGGAAGGGGCAGCTATGGCCAGGGCTCAGGAGCCTCTGCTTAGAAGCAGTATGGCAGAGCGGTGCATCTGGGCTCTGCCTCTTACGAGCTGTGTGACCCTGAGCAGGTCACTCAGCCTCATTGCACCTCTGTTTCTCCATCTATAAAATGGGCACAGTAACAGTACCTACCTCACAGGGATACTGGCGGCTGAAGTTACTTACAACTCTTTAAGCTGTGCCTGAGTCATGGTGACTGCTACATGTGTTACCTATTGTAAGTATCGGTGGCCCGGCTCCTTGGGCACAGGCTCAGGTGGCTGGGGAAGCTGATCTACACTAAGCCAGCTCATCTTTAGACTGACCAAATGAGTCTGGAGGAGGCAGGGTGCCTGGCCTGGCTTGGGCATAAGCCTTTCCAGGGGGGTGGACTCCAGGTGTGGGGGCTGCGGCTGTGAAGAGGAGGCTTCCTGCCCTGCTGGGTTTAGAAAACACCTGCTCCTCCCTGACCCATCCTCTGTTCCCCGGGAGCCACAGCAGGCTGAGCCATGGCTGCAGCCCTCCTGCCTACTCTAAGAAGACACCTTGCTGCCTGGAGCAGACATGGTCCAGCCTGCTTTGTAGAGTTGGTTCCCTCAGATTGCTTCCTTCCCCACTAGCCTCCAAGTTCTGCCCCTCCCTTGAGGCCCAGTGCTAAGCCACCTCCTCCATGAGGCCTTCCTGGACGACTGCAGCTTTCACTGCTGTGTCTCCTGGAACACTAGGAGCTGTCCTTAGAGAGTCACTGTCTATTTCCCAGAGGAGGAGAGTCATCGTGGTTAACACCATGGCCTCAAATTCAAGCTCTACGACTGTGTGGCTTTGGGCAACTGGCTTTTCCTCTGAGTCTTGGTTCCCTTGTCCTAATTCCTACCTTAGGAGGTCCTAGTTCCTACCTTAGGAGGTTACAGTGAGGAAGAAAGGAGGCAGCAGAGGTCAGGTGCTTAGCACAGAGTATGTGCTCAGTAAATAAACTTTCTTTTTCTTTTCTTTTTTTTTTTTTTTTGAGATGGAGTTTCACTCTTGTTGCCCAGGCTGGAGTGCAATGGTGAGATCTTGGCTCACTGCAACCTCCACCTCCTGGATTCAAGTGATTCTCCTGCCTCAGCTTCCCGAGTGGCTGGGATTACAGGCATGCACCACCACGCCCAGCTAATTTTTTTGTATTTTTAGCAGAGACAGGGTTTCACCATGTCAGCCAGGCTGGTCTCGAACTCCTGACCTCAGGTGATCCACCCGCCTCAGCCTCCCAAAGCGCTAGGATTACAGGTGTGAGCCACTGTGCCCGGCCCAGTAAATAAACTCTTATTTCCCCAGCTATCCCTTCCTAGAAGCCAGGGCCTATGTGTTATTTCATTACGTCCCCCAGCCCCTTCATGCTGGGCAAATGCTGAGTGCTTAGTCAACACTTGTTGATGGTGAACTGAGGAGAACCCAGGGGCCACGGGGATGGCTCTACAGTGGACAGTGACAGAAAATCAGGACTGGAAGGGACCTCAAGGTCATCTAATGCAGCCTCCCAACCTCCCCATTTTTATAAATGAGGAACAGGGGCCCAGGGTGGTGGGGTGGCCCTGGTGCAGGACAGCTGCAACCTAAGGACTTATGTCTTCCAAGACTTTGCCACCATGAAAGATGGGCCAAATGACACCAGAGGAGGGACCTCTTCCTGCGGCTTCCACTGGACCTTAGGGTGCAGAGAGGTGTTCCTCCTGGTGCTTCCTCCCAGCCAAGGGTGGGGTTGAGAATCTCCCTTCTCTCAATCTCCATCTGCCCTCCCAGCACTCTCCTGCACCTCTGGCAGATAAAGGAGTGCTTGCTGGCTGGCCCTGGCCGTGAAAAATCTTCATTGCTGCTGCCTTTTTCTATGTCCACCATTTCTTCTGTGGCCACCAATCAAGCTGCATGGCTCAATATAGCTCTAGATGTCTTTTTTAAAATTATTATTTATTTATTTTTGAGCCAGTGTCTCACTCACCCAGGCTGGAGTGCAGTGGCTCAATCACAGCTCACTGCAGCCTCAACCTCCTGGGATCAAGCAATCCTCCCACCTCAGCCTACTGAGTACCTGGGACTCCAGGTGGGTACGCACCACCACACCGGGCTACAGGTGGGTACGCACCACCATACCGGGCAAATTTTTAAATTTTTTTTGTAGAGACAGGGTCCCACTATGTTGCCCAGTCTAGTCTTGAACTCCTGGGCTCGAATGATTGTCCCTTCTCAGCCTCCCAAAGTGCTGGGATTGCAGGCATGAGCCAGCGTGCCCAGCCTCTAGACATCTTTGATATGTTTTTCACTAGTGTCACTGGGAAGTTCTTTTTAAGCTCTAACTTCAACCTCTCTTGCTGTATTACCTGACATCTCTTCCCCTGGAGCACGTGGAAATAGCCCCTTCCCACCACAGCACAGCCTGTGTCCAGGGCCTGCCGGGCAGCATACAGTTTTACTCATCTTTCCTCCAGATTGTCCTTGGCACTGATGCCCAGGATCTCTCTACCCTAAAAGGTTTTCAAGACTCTTTAGGGAACTGGTGGCTACTCAAGGGTCCAGACACCTTTAATACCAGCCCTCTGCTTTCTTTGATTGCTGGAATGTGCTTGGCAAGAGGTGCTGGGTGCCGACGTCCCTTGATGGCAGCACTCGGCCAATGACAACGGGGTTGTTGCATAAATGCCCCAGCTTCCCTGTCCCTTGCACGGGACAACTCTGAGGCACACCCTATACCATCTCCCTAAGTCCCCAGTGGGATCGAGCCCCAGTGGCCCAAAGCAGTCACTTGATAATTAATGAACTCTGCCATGGCTTCATTCTCTTCTGTGTTTCATTTCCCTACTCCTCTACAGCCCTTTCCTGGGGTCACCTTGTCCCAAATAAACTACTTGTGATAAAACAAAACAAATTTTAAAAAATAGCCTTGTTGTGGGCCTTTGTTCATGGGCCACCCCTCACACACAATCTCTCTCTCACATATACTCATGTACACACACACTCACGCACACACAATGCTTCTAACTAGCTCTGTGGCTTTGGGCAATTTGTGTCCTCCTCCTGGGCCAGTCTCCTCATCTGTTCCACGGAGGGAGCTTGCTCTTCTCTAGGGACCCTTCCTGCTTGGACACTCTAGGAGCTTGAATCCCAGGGCAGAGGCCGGCCTATCAAGGCCCACTGGCCCCAAGGTTCCAGGCTCTCTGGCTGGTGGACCCAGCTCCACCTTGCCCATCTCCGTGCTCGGGGACCTGAGAGACTGGGGCCCTCTCAGGTATACAATGAAAAAGTGTTGGAAAGGGAACCCCTATCCTTGCCTGCCTTCCATAGACTTACCTAGAAGACCGTGTGGTGGAAGGTGGCCACAAAACCCCTGGACTGTTCTCAACGTGGCAATGTTGAAGATAACATCGTGGAGGGCAAAGAACATACACGGCTTTGGTGTCAGGGAGACCTGGGTTAGAATCCCGGCTCTGCTACTTACTATGTGACTTGGGCAAGTTATCCTAATAACAACTTTTCAAGGTTGCTGTCAGGAAAAAATAAAGCACACACAGCACCTAGGACAGCGCCCGGAACACAGTAGACCCTAATACAGGGTGACGGCGATGGCGGCTGTTTTCTGAGCTAGAATCGTATGGCATGGAGTCCCAAAGGAGTCCCCAGAAAAATGAAATGAAGAATTCTGTAGCGGGGGGGTGTTCTCAACATTTAGCCCCCTTGTCAACCTTCATGGAACTGAAAAAGTAGGGTTTTCCCACTATTCCCCATGGCCTTCCCCAGCCTTCCAAATGGACAGGCTTTCTGGAGGCTTCCTCCTACCCCGTTCCAGCCACTGGAGCAGCAAACAGCGAAAGGGCCTTGGTCTTGGGTGTCACCAACACATGGGACCCATGATGTGGGGATTCCTGGGTGGGCATTTGTCAGTGTGGATTTGAGCTTTGGTGCTTTGCCAGGGCACAGCAGAGGCCTGAGTCCTTACACCCTCTCTTTGGTGGCTGAGCATCAAGAGCATGTCCTCAGCCTCTGTTTTCCTCTGCACTCCATCTACAAATAAGTCTGAGGAAGAGGCTGGAATCTTCACCTTAGGCTGTCATAGTGGAAGGACCATCTATTTAACTTGAAGGCCATCTACTTCAATCCAGTCTCTTATGGAACTGGAAGCCCATCGCTCTAGCTCCCAGAACATCTCTCCTCTCCTTCCAAGACACAGGCTGTGTCTCTCCAGCTTCCACAGTCTGCAGCTGTCATCCCTAGTGGGTCAGATTTCAGGCAGCCTGGCCCTTCGACAGGAAGTATGTGGATGGGATTCTCTCTGGGACCTGAGCAGCTTCTTAAAGGCCCTTCCCAGAGCACTGGAGGGGGGTCCTGGGGCTCTCCACTCTCTTAGGCTGCAGAAACATTCCGAGTGGCAGTGCGCTAGCCGGGAGAAAACGTGAGGTCACTGCTGGTATATGAGCGATGCTGGTCACAGGATTACTCCCTGGGCTGGGGCACCCATTTGAGAAGCCAAAAGTAGAACGTGGGTGGCACCAAGATGAAGGGGTCCTTCAGAAAGCTTTCCACAGAAAGCTTTGATGTGTTCACATGACATTAGGCTGATACACACAGGGCCCAGTGCATCAACAGTCATTCCATGGATGAGAGCAGGATTTGAGTATGGGAAGTGAACATCTTTGAGAAAGTAGGGAAACAGGGCCATCGCTCATTCTCAGAGGAATATCACATGTGCCAAAGAGCAGAATGACCTGTGTGTTGGAACAGAACAACATCACATCCGAGGGTCACTCAGGTGGGAAGCTGGCTTATGCTTAGAGGTATGCTAGGCACCTGCTGAGCATGCCTGGTCCTGGCACACAGATGGTGCCCTGGGGTTCCAGTGGCCACCACAGCCTGTCTATCCTCAGAGCTGATTTCCGCAAGGCCAACCCTCTGCCCAAACCCGTCAGTGACTCCACAATACTGGTGGGATAAAGTCCATTCCCAATCTTACTCCAATCTCCCTTTCTACCCTCATCCCCACCGAGTGACCTGTCCACTCCGTCCACACTGATACTTTTGCCAGATCTGCCGAACCCTCTCAGGCCACCATCCCGCTTTATGATTTCCTTCTGCTGGAGATGCCTTCCATCCACTCCTTTCTCTGCATCGTCACCTCTTTCAGGAATCGCTCACTTCCCCAGGAGGAGTCAGTCCCACCCTCCTCTATGCTCTAACAATTCTTGGTACTTGCCTGTATTTCAGCAATGACCACTTTGTGCTTTAATTATTCACTGATGTGTCTCTCTCCTCCACCAGACGGTGCCATGTGCACCTTTTTATCACAGGTACTTATTATAGGTGGTTGGCTCATAAGATGTGTGCAATAAATGTTAAATGGGTGGATGGATGGATGGATAGGTAGATATTATTTATTCTCCACTACTTTTCCAAGGGCAGAAATGCTGGGCTGGGCTTGGTGATGTGCCACCCAGACCCTCCTTCAAGGGAGGACTTCTCGCTCAGCTGCTGGGAGCACTGTGGAGAGTGCCTTTAGCTGTCAGCCCCATCAGCCCCACCAAAGATTGGCTCAGCTACAGAGAGCTACCTGGCCCAAAGTCACATCCTTCCAAGGGCTGTCCACACGCAGGCACCAATTTCAGTGGGGATGTAAAGGCTCACCATTCTTACCCAACATGGGCTGAGGTTGATGTGCCACGTGGGATTGGCCAAGGCTGCTGCTGGGCTTTTGCGGTAGACTCTGCCCCATGCTGTGTGCCTCCCCTCCCTTCCATGGGTGTTGATCCCAAGTGCATCACCTGGTAAAAAGTCAACATTCTGAACTCGAGTCTGCTTCCTCAAGAACTGAATCCCCCTGGGAGCCTCAGCCTTTCTTTCTCCTTTCTTTCTCTTGGTAGCCAGGATTACCCTGGTCTCTCTGCCCCCAGATCTGTGGAACTTTTCTGGGTTCCAGATACCTTTGCTAAGGGCTCAGGGCTCTCTTCCTAGAAAAACGCACATGATTTCACACATGCCAAATTTTACCTTCATGTCAGGGGCTTTACAGACTCCATAGGCCCCAGGCTAAGCACACTATTATGGAGAGAAAATCATGGAGTATTTTCCATATGCTGAGAAGAGTGCCAAGGGATATAGGCAGCTCTCTGGTCACACAGATAAAATATTTCAGGGCTTTTCAGAGCCTGGTCATCTTCATCCTTGGCACTGACGGAATCCTCACGCAAACGGAAGAGAGCCTGAGTGGAGTGAGGCCCCAGGCTCTGCAACTACCTGCTAGGAGGTCTTGAGAACCACACCCAACTTTTCTGGACCACGGTTTTCTCATCAGCAAAATGGGGATGCAAATACCTCCTTTCCAGGATAGTGATGAAGATGAAATGAACCCATAGGTTAGCATATCCACCACGGTGGGAAGTACAACTTTCCACCCAGGAATAGGTGAGAAGGGAGAACACCTGCAGTGGCCCCCAGCATTTGTGCTCACACAGCTCCTGCCAGGGAGCTGACTCGGGGTAGTGAGCCTCTCTGGGCTCCCAGGCAGGCCCTGGCAGCCACATTGCCCACTGCCAGGAGCTAAGGGGACAGGAGCAACTGAAGGGCTATGTGAGAGCCAGGAGAGGAGGGGGAGGAGGAAGGTGCTGACCGAGGCCCGGCACTCTCCTACCAGAGGGGCTGGAATGAGGAGCTACCTGCAGGCTCAGCCCCTGAGGGAGTCTGCTGTTGATAGTGGGGTGGCTTGCCAGAGCAGGAGCTTGAGGGCTGTTCTCCTATCTCGGCAATGGCTAGCACAGTAATTACTAGAGACTCTACCAGGAGCATTTTGAAGGCTGATGGACTCCTTGGGTATGAAGACTCCTCCAGAGGGCCTGGCCAATTGCACTAGATTATCCCAGACTCTGCCAGCCATTCTTAAAGCTCTTCTGGGACAAAGCTATGAAGCATTTTCTAGACAAAAGCTAACAACATGCGTCACGTCCCCTCAAGATTTTTAGCCCTTTCTAAAACACTTCTTTTCCCTCCTTTCTTTGAATCAATATGGTGATCTCAGACGGGCAGAATAAAGGCACCGAGCACAGAAAGCCAGGTGTCTTTTGAGGTCCCAGATGGCATGAGGGGGGTGGAGGTGAACAGAAGGCCAGTGTTAGTGACAAGACAAGAAATCAACTCACTTCATGCTGATTCGAAGCCCGAGCTGGAAGGTCCTGCCCAAGGTGGTGGAGAGGGCACTGGGCCAGGAGTCAGGAGGCAATCCCACCGCAGCCTGCAGAGTGTGCGGCATAACTGTGGGCAAATCACTTCCCCTCTCTGGGCTCTGTATCCTCATTGTAAGAGGGCAGCTTGGACAAGACACTTTGGCATCAGGCAGGAAGGAGAGGCCCAGCTCCCTCCCTCCCCACTTGCCATTTGCTTGGGCCCTGGCCACACCCGCTGTGTCGCTGCTCCATCCCTGCTCCTGCTAACCTGAAGCCATCAGATGAACTTCAGCTCCCAGTGACACAGCATAAGCCTCCCCTGCCATGGCCCCTTGATTGCCACCATCCAGGCCAGAAGCCCCTGCAGGAGGGCAGATGTGGCTGTCCCGGCTCTCTTCCACTTCCAGAGGCTGCCCTGACCTCGCTGGCTGTAAGAGATGCTTCTCCTGTCTGGCTCCCAAGGAGAGAAGAAGTTCTTCCTCTCCTTGTTGCCTCCAGGCTTTGGTCTCACAGCTGCTCCTAAAGGTGTGGGTGGGGGCTGGCTTGTCTCTAGAGTGTTCCTGTCAAAGGGTCGCAGCCACTTCTCTGGGCTCAGCCCTCCCCTCACCTAGGCCAGAATACCCCGGCCACTCCCTCAAGGTGGGCCACAGGGTGGCTCCTGCAGACTGTCCCCATGGGCGAATGTGGAGCCCTCCCCTGCTCAGCCCATCCCACAGGAAGGCCTCCTCTGGAAGCTTCCTCAGGCCTCCTCAGGCACCGCCTCCCTCATAGCCTCCCAGGCTGGGCCATACTGGCGAGTGCCATCTTACTGCCCCCGGAATCCTACTGTCTTTGAGCATTTTACATTGTCATAAACAGGCATGGCTCTGGTGGCAATTTCAAGCTCGAAGAACATCCTCCCTGCCCGCTTCCCAACACATGACACACAGTTTCACACAGGCACGTCTCTCTCTGGCCCAGGCAGACACAGCTCACTGTACACCTTGGTTTTCTCACCTTTCACGTCTGCTCTTGTGATTACCCCAGGAGAAGAGAGCTCCCATCTCTCAACATTCTCACCCAGCCTCAGGATAAGGCTGCAGAACCACGGCCTCTTCATCCTGCCCTGGCCACAACCCAAAGTCATCTCCCTGTGGCTTCAGTACAGCCTAGTGAACTCCAGATATTACTTATTTTTTCTTTTATTATGAGGTATTTTATATATGCAAATATAGGTAACACAGAGATGAAACATACAGAAAAATATCCACATGTACTCAGCTCAAGAAAGAGCACGTTTGAAGCCTCTGATGCCCTGTGTATTCCTCTCCCCTCCTCAGAAGAATCCCTGTCCTGAATTTGTGTCGGTCCTTCCCTAGCTCTTCCCTATGGGCAAACGCCCCCCTTGTCTTTACATAATCAACACTGCTGCCTCACATGAGTGCCAGAATTGCACAGCCATCCTCGTGGGAGCCTCAGGAGCCTCGTGGGAGCCTCGTGGGAGCCTCAGGAGCAGTCAGGGTCTTGCAGATCCCAAAGGGTCAGGGAAGTGCCTCCAAGGGGATTGGCCCCACAGCTCCATGCTGGCAAGACTGGAAAGATGGCAGGAGTCTGACTGCAGCTGGGCTGGGCCTCACAGTCTTGGACCCCAATATTACAGCAAGGAAGACTTTTAGAAAACAAAATGGAGTTACTCCTTAAGCCCTCTACACCCCAGCCCTTTGTGGCCTGAGTAAGCAATAGGTTCCAAAGGGACCACGGGTGACCATCAGGAACCACAAAAGAATAGCTCACGGAAATGCCGGGGATGCTGGGAGAGGGTACTCCACAGGAGAGGCAGCTGGGGACCAGGTCTCCGGGGCGAGTGCCTTTGGGGTCCCTGAGAGGAGGGAGCACATGAGGCTGCAGCCAGGGTCAGCCTACTTGTAATTAGGGGTAGAGTCGCAGCCTCTAACTGTAGTGCAGACTTGGAGCCCGACCACTAGGGTTTGAACGCTCGCTGTACCAGCTACCTGCGTTGTGGCCTTGGGCAAGTCGCTTAAACTCCTGTGCCTCAAGGTCCTGTGAAAGGAGGTGTCCCAAGAACGAAGGGCTAATACACGTACAATGGTTGGCAAGCCCTAGTAAGTAGCAACTATCTTCTCTTTTGGGACGTCCCATGTTTTATTTTGTCAAATAAGAAAATAAAAAGCAAAAGTATCATTCACTTTTCCTGTAATATTATTAAAAAAATGAAAAGTAGGAAGAATATAATTTCAGAACAAAGGACAACCCTTTAGCTTGCTGTATCAGTTTCTTATCGCTCTTGGTGTCTTGTGCTAGAGTTCTCTAAATCGAGATGTGCTGGCCTCTTCTGTGTGGTGTAATCGGTGACTCTGAGTTACAGATGATGCCAGAGGAGCTTACCAGAGGGTAACAAGGGCTGGAAGGCAGCAGAGTGGTATAACTATGAGATTTAGAACCAGAGAGACTGACTGTGGTTAAAATCCCGCCACTCACTAGCTGTGTGGCACTGGGCTAGTTCCTTAACCTCTCTGAGCCCATTTGCTTGTGTGTAAAGTAGGGATACCTGCTACATGATTTTGCTGTGAGAGTGAGTGAAATAATCTACACGAAGCCTATGGCATCTACTTGATGCTTGGTAACTGTGGCTATTCTCCCCTAATCTGGGCCCTTTATGCATCCCCAGCTTCCGGTTCATGAGCTAATTGCTCCCTGGAGAGCAGGGACCTTGTCTCATTCTTTCTAGCTCCCTCGCGGAGCCCTGTTATGGTGACCCACACAAATCATGTGTGCATAAAGCCCATACCAGAGGCAGGCATGAGGCCATGCCTGGGTGTTTCATATTCTCTTGGCTCTAAAGCCCCTTCATTCCATCTTCCTTCTGTTCCAACCCAGGTCAGCCCTACTTCACCCCAGCAGAGCACATGTTTCTTGGGTCCTGAGCTATTTCCAGGGAAGAACAGCTCCTCACAGGCCCAAGTTTACCACATGCCAGAGGAAATCTGATGACCTACAGGTGCCTGTGGAGGTCAGGTGCATTCTTGCTGAAAACAGGAGTCTTGTGACCCAAGAAATGGAAATGGCAGAATTACCAGTAGGGTAGGACATTGCTCTGGACATTTAGCTAGTTACCAGGGAGCAAGATTCCCCACTTGTTTCCCTGCAGTTAACGTCCTTATCTTCAGTGGTCCTACTGGAAGTCCTACCTGATATCTAGCTCCAGGCTTTCATGCTGCACATATCAGATTGGCCACACTGTTTCCCGCATGCCTTGTGGCTTCCATGTGTTATCTCTGCAAGTGTTAAGAGGAAGGGACGTGCTAGGCTCCTGCTGTATGTGTGACAATGGAATATCTGCTCACTGTCTCTGCAGGACACACTTTGGAAGAAGCCTTAGAGATCCTGGCATGGGGAATACCCCATGGGGCAGGCCAGGGGACAGTGCCAGGCCATAAGCCTTTCCCTGTTGGGATAAACAATCTTCTCTCAGGAGAACAGGCAGTCAAACTGTTGGCTGATAAAATAAATGCTTCCGATCTTAATCCCATCCCAGTCTTCACTGTGGCAGCCTGTTGCTGAGTTAAATCATTTCCTCTCCTGCCCTGATGTCTAGAAAATCTCCTCTCTGAGCCTGTTGGCCCTACTTGATTGACATTCATCCGGGTCTTTAGCTTCTTTGATCTCTTCCCCAAATTTGTCCTTCAGTTCTCAGAGTCTCTCTCTTTCTCTCTTTTTGAATATTCGGCTCTATCCTGCCACCACTCCATGTCAGGAGCTGGGCCTGAACAGAAACATCTGAAAGACTGCCTCTTCTCCACGCCCAACACCTGCTATCCCATGGGACGGACTAGACCTTGCCAGAGCCCCTGGTATGGCAAGCATGTTGTTCAGGTCCCTGAGGTGTGTCTGAACAACATGCTTGGAACCTGAAGAACATGCTTGCCATAGCAGAGGCTCATCACATGAAGCATGTGGCCTGTACTTTCTAAACATTCCCTAGTCATATCTGAATTTCTAGACCTTAAATCTTGTTTGAGTTCTCCCTCTCTGCCCTCGAAAATCCAGCTTTAACATAGCTAGCACGTATGCAGTCCTTACTAGATGCTGGACACCTTTCCAGGCATTATCACATTTAATCCTGCCAAACACCCTAAGAAGTTAAGTGCTATGCTCCTTTTACAGATGAGTTAACTCAAGGTTGGAAAGCTTATGGAATTTAACCAAGGTCATAGAGTTTGTGAGTGGCCAAGCCAGGACCTGAACCTAGATTTGAATTATCTGGTTTATGCTTTCAAGTGCCACACATTACAGTGATTCCCTGAAGTTCTGAATTTATCTTCTAGTCCAGGGAACTCCTTTGCCACTTCCTCGCCTCTCTCTTTCTCTTTCCAAGCTAGAAAGGAATCCACAAAACCATGTGGTGCTCATTCCTCTGCACCTGGGGAGGGAAGGGACCTTCGCTATTTTTAAGTTCTTCAGTGATCAGTAAACATGAGTATCCTGTTCATCAGGACAGTTTCTCATTACAAATTCGTAAATTCATACTAATATGATATGTCAGTCTCTTATGAGTTTGTTTCTGATGAGTCAGTTCCCTCGATTCCTGAGGAATCTGAGGACTCATGGCAGCCTAATTGATTCTCCAAGACTTCAAAGCTTCAGTATAAACATGGAACATGGTGACCACACCAAGATCCCACCAGGCCGTGTGGCAGTGGCACCTGGGGAGTGAGCAAGGTGACACATTCAAACAGGAACAAGGAAGAAGCAGGTTTAAAGCCTCTGCTCCACTGTTGCCCTCTCTTTGCATAGGCTCTGGTCTTAACCTCTGCCTGCTTCTACCTTTGTGACCTTCAACAAGTTGCTTATCTTCTCCGAGTATTTCCTCAGCTGTAAAATGGACACAGTGATTCTTGCCCTTCTGACTGTTTACAAGGTCAGAGGCTGAGGATCCTTGTGGTGAGAATCAAGTAAGCAGAAGGACAGAAGGAGTTCTGTAACTCGGAAAATGCAGTATCGATGCTGGTTGTTAAAACCCTCATCATTCCTATCATTTCTGTCCTTGGAGTGCAAGAAACTGCATCCAAGCCCAGGATAAACGCTAAGAGCTGCCAGCATGGAGGGAAGGAAGTGGGGGCCAGGCTGTTCCCCGTGGCATTCCGGGGGCACTTCCCAGTGTCCAGGCCGCACTGCCCAAGACGAATGGAGAAGAGGGACAATGAGAGGCGATCCTCTGCAGGACTATGAGTGGGGTGAAATTCTTCTCCTTTTTGAAACTGCCTTGTTTCAAAATAATAATAATAAATATTAATAATAAAATATTATGATAATATTTTTACAATAATAAGTGAAATGTAGGAAAAAAAACAGTGCACAGGCCTACAGAGGGCTTCCCTTGCCATGCTCTTTTGCTCCAATACTGCATTTCACCAGAGGGTCAACATTCGCACCCCACCACCTGCCATTTGTTTTGCTTTGCAATTGCCCTGGGTCTCTCCATGAGCAGGTCCCATCCCTGGCCATGCAGAATGCCTTCTTACAGAATCCCTGGTAGAGGGCCTTGGGGATTAGACAGTGCAACCCCTCATGCTATGGTTGAGGAAGCTGGGGCCCAGAGAAGAGGGGGATGCCTTGTGCCTTGTCTAGGTCAGTGTGGTGGAAGCACCAGCTTCTTCTGGAAGCCCAGGTGCTGCCTGGGTCTGCCCTTCCCCTCGGCTCCCTTCCAAATCCCAAGCTTCTAGGTCACACGACACTTTCTCTTACTCCCCTGGCTCTTTGAAGGAAATAATGTATACAGTGGGCCATTTCCAGGATGAAGTGCCTGAATTGGCTTAGGTCAGCAAACTACAGAAGAAACAGGATACACTAGGCCCCTGCTTGGATAGCTGATGCCTGCTTCTCGGCCTCCCCCACTTCCCCACCATCCCCCTTCCCCCCACTTCCCCACTCCTTAGTTGCCCTCCCCGAACCAAAGAAGTTTAGTCTAAGATGAAAGTTTACTAGCCTACAAAATAGTTCATTTTGTTTGTTCTTATCAGCCTGCCCAGCTACTTCGGTCATAAATCAAATACTTTATGAGCCCCTGAGCTAGCTAGGATTGCAATGCATTGTGGGCTGCAACAAAATGGAGCAAAACAACCCTAAAAAACCACCTACAGCCCCTGCCCAGCAATGAACAGGCATCATCCGGGAAGATTGTAACCCATAATACTCAGCCTATGAGGAACCAGGGGAGAGACCTGTGCACTAGGGGATAAACTGCTTGTTGAAACTGTGCTGGGTGTGCCTGCTCAAGAGACACCCGATTTTGCAAGACCGTCATCACAAGTCTCACTTTCGCTGTTCTCTGGGTCTCTGAGTCCATTCTTTGGGTTTGGACGGGTGAGTCTGTTTCTCACAACCTGGTGGCCCATATGGGGATTTCCATGCCTGCATGGAGTGAGACTCCAGCTGACAGGGGAGATGTGTCCCACTCGATTTGTGTGGCCCACTCTGTCCAGGTGTCTCAGCTCCCCGAAGAAGCCATAGACAAACCTGAAACTGTTATTCAGGAGACAACTAAAGTGACACAGGGAGAAAAGCAGGCAACCAGGCAACCTCACGCATGAGCCAAGGTAGGAAAATTGATCTGTAAGTACTGCTTGGTAGTTGTGCATTTTCGGAGGTCTTGGGGTGTGTAAGAAACCTCCAGTAAGGGAGGCTGAGTACACAGGGAAAAGCTCAGACACAGAGACTAACCAAAAATGGGAAACAAGAATTCTAGGCCTAGAGAACAGAGGAAAGAGGGAACTAAAGAGAACCCTTCTGACATTCCCCCAAATAGTCCGCTGGGGAGAATGCTGCAGGTTTGAAGGGATAGTCCTCAAACCAGGGACAAGGAAAAGCAAAAGATGATAAAGTTTGTTGTTTTATCTGGCCCAAAAAGCCCATTCGTCAACCTTTGGTCTTTTGGCCTGAGTTTGGCTCAGATGAGGATTGGGTGTGCCAAGCTTTAATTTTCTGTGAATAATAAAACTCCATCCTCACGAGAGGAGACAGGTTATGCTCTTTGTTGGATTAGTGAATTAACCCCCATGTTCCCCTTTAAAAAGAAGAAAAAGAGCATAGTAAAAAGCCCTCACCCAATGAAAAGCCCTGGGATCCCCTAACACGCTTGCCCCCCCATACATCTCAGGAAGAACAGAACAGGGCGATCGGGGGGCAGCAAGAAGGTCGGAGGAAGAGGAATCGGGGGGTCACGAAGAAGCTAAACCCAATGCTTCCTTAAATCCTTATCCAAACTAGAGGAAAGAATTAGAACAATGTAAGAAGGACATTGAGAATTTCCCCGTTCCTTCTAAACAGCAGATGTCTAACAGGTACCCTCTTAGAGAAGTCTCTACGGGACAGAGAGGAGTTGGGTTTGTTGGGTTTGTGAGTGTGCCTCTAGCAAGTACTGAGGTTCAGAATTCTAAAAAGAAAATGAGGCCACTCTGGGAAGACCCCCTCGGTTTAGCAGAGCAGCTAGATCAATTTTTATGACCCCATTTTTATACTTGGGCTAAGATAATGTCAATCATAAATATTCTGTTTCCTGGGGAAGAGAGGGGAATGATTATAAGGGCAGCCATGACCATTTGGGAGAGACCCCATTCTCCCGGGTAAGGAGTCCTGCCAGCTGAGCAGAAATTCCCAAATGCAAATCCCAGAGGGGATAACAATAACCTCAGAGATCAGGCCCCAGTGCAGGACCCAAGGGAACTAATAATTAAAGGGATTAAAAAGTCCACTCTTAGAACACAAAATGTCTTGAAAGCATTCGAGATCCAACAATAAAAAGAGAAGACTCCCTCCGCATTTCTGCAGAGGCTCAGGGATCAAATAAGAAAATATTCAGGATTAGGTCCAGAGCACCCAGTAGGGCAAGGCCTTTTAGGACTTAGTTCTGTGACAAAAGCTGGCCTGATATTACTAAGAAACTGCAAAAGATTGATAGGTGGAATGAAAAACCGATTAAGGAATTACTGAGGGAAGCTCAGAAGGTTTTTGTAAGAAGAAAGAAAAGAGAAACTGGAAAAGGGAGAAAGAGAAAAAGTAAAAAAGAAAATTGGAAAGACAAAGGGGAGGAAATGGCAAACATAGAGGGCCAGAGAGAGAAAGAGTTAAGCTGCTGACCCTGAAGGCAAGGGAGAGGCGGCCACACAACTGTGTGTGGAAGCTGGCTGCTGAAAGCTGTTGATAAAAGTTGTTGCTGAATCTTTGTTGTTTCGACAGAGCTGTCCATCTTTGCAGATTGTCAGGGGCCAGGGCCCAGCACAGTTTAGCTTGTGCCCAGAGAGAGAAAGAGAAAGAAACTAAGTGTGAGGGAAAAAGGAAACAGGATGATAGAGATAGATAGAAAAAGAAAACGAGCGAGAGCAAGAGACTGGAAAAGACAGATCAAAGAGAGACACCAAAGTTAAGACTGGGGAGAAAAATAATGCAAAAGGAAGAAAGAGTACAAGAGGAAGTGAGAGGATGTGGAGAGGTTGGCAGGGCTGGGGGAAGGTTCTAGAGGCTCAAGCAACAAGGAGGTGCTGGGAAAGGGTGCAGTGCGGCCACTGAGGAGGGACAGGGTCCGGGAACTGGGGGATGCAAGTGAGAAGGGGATGTGGAGGAGAGTTTAGGATCAGGCTGCCTGAGGAATAGTGGGTTGCGTACGGCAAAGACTAGATGGCTGTTTGTCAGGAGGGTGTAGAAAGGGTTCAGGATGTGGAAGGGTGAGTGGATGAGATGAGCATTAAGGTTTGCTGCTGTTTCACTGAGAGGCTGTGAGTCCACCAGGGGCAGCCGTCAGTAAGGCTGCAGAGAGGCCGGGGGGCTACATAAGGAAGATCCGAACTAGGGTTATAAACTCAAAGGACAACACGGCCAGCAAATGGTGAGAAGGAGGGCTGCAGGGCTGGATGGGGACTGTGGCTAACTGAAGAGGGCACACCTCTGCAGCTGCTCGACTGTTCTCACAGTGCCAGCCCTGTGTTGCCAGACTGTCTGCTTTGTCAGAGGCCAGAATTCTGACTTTTTATGTGAAACAGGATTTTTAAATGCTGGTGATCAGTTAAAAAAACTTAATAACCCAATACAGGTGATAGAAAATGCCAGTTTGCAATCCCTGAAGTAGAGAGAGCGCGTGCTGGGGAGAAGTCCGCCAGGATGCTTTGAGGTGGGGTGTATAAAAGTTCTGTTTCCCAGAGCTGGGCTGGGCCAAGGGGCGACCCTTGCAGCTGACGAAAAGCCACCAAGTCCCCTCCCAGAGCGGGACAAACCTGGGACCCTTTGCAGTTGCTGGGTCACCAGCAGGGGTGGCGTGGAATACAAACAGTGCAGCTCTCGGCCTGCCAGGGAGACGGATGGTGCCTTCAAAGCAAAGAAGGAGCCAGGGATGCCTTTGCTGATGAGAGTGCCCATCAGGGAAGGCACCACAGGCTGGCAGCTCTTCAAACCAGCAGCTGTTGGCCCAGAGCCAGACCCGGCAGAGCCCGGCTAAAGACACCCTGAAAGGCCAGCTGGTCAGCCCCTTGCCTCCTCAAGTTCCTCCTGGGGTCAGTGGGCCCTGGAAAGGCGCCTAAATGAACTCCAGTCAGTTTCTTACGGAAATGAGAGGAGAATAAGCAGGTATCAGACCATAACTGTTTACATATGATAGAATATCAAACCAAAGTTAGACCAGACCTTAAAGAAATTCCACTACTCGATGGAATGAGGCTGTTTGTGAATAGGCCATCCTGAGTGATAGATGGTAAAAGACACAATGTCCAGGCTGTCATTGATGGAAACAAACAAACCTTATGAGAAAAAGGTAGATTACCCAATAACTGCTCAGCCCAAACCTGTGAATTACATGCTCTTAACCAAGCCCTGAAGCTCATATAAGGCCAAGAAGGCACTGTATATGCTATTTCCAGATATGCCTATGGAGTAGTACACACCTTTGGAAAGATCTGGACAAAGTGGAGCCTAATAAATAGCAGGTAGAAAGAATTGGTATATGGGAAACTGGTCAAACAAGTTTTAAAAAGCCTCCTGCTTCCAGCAGAGGTAGCCATAGTTCATGTAAACGGCCATCAGAAAGGAAACTCTATAGAAGCTAGGGTTAGGGTTAGGGTTAGGGTTAGGGTTAGGGAACAGGCTTGTGGATAAAGCTGCTAAGCAGCCTCCCTGGAGGTAGAAGTTAAACTATTTGGCCTAATCCCAGATATCCCTAAGGTGGTATTAAAACCCCAACTTTCTGAAGAGGAGGAGGAAGAGCTGGGCAAGATAGGGCCACTCAAACTGAGGATGGGAGGTGGGTGCTCCCTGATGGGACCGAAATGATAAGCAAACTCACAAGGAGAGAACTGATATCCATACTCTGTAAGGGAGGTCACTGGGGTCCCCAGGCCATGTGTGATGCAATACTCAAGAATTACGGGTGTATAGGGATCTACACCCTTGTTAAACAAGTGTGTGGGTGTTATGTGACCTGCCAGAGAATAAACAAAAAGGTAGTTAGAAAACAGACTACCGGCCGGGCGCGGTGGCTCACGCCTGTAATCCCAGCACTTTGGGAGGCCGAGGTGGGCGGATCACGAGGTCAGGAGATCGAGACCATCCTGGCTAACACAGTGAAACCCCGTCTCTACTAAAAATACAAAAAAATTAGCCGGGCACGGTGGCGGGCACCTGTAGTCCCAGCTACTCGGGAGGCTGAGGCAGGAGAATGGCGTGAACCCGGGAGGCGGAGCTTGCAGTGAGCCGAGATTGTGCCACTGCACCCCAGCCTGAGCCACAGAGCAAGACTCCGTCTCAAAAAAAAAAAAAAAAAAAAAAAAAGAAAACAGACTACCGGAGGGAAACCTCCTGGGTTAAGGCCATTTCAAAGCATTCAAGTAGATTTTACAGAAATGTCCAAAATAGGGAGACTAACGTATCTGCTGGTAATGGTAGACCACCTCTCCAGGGTGGAGGCCTTCCCCTCCCAGCTGCCACTGCCGGGGATGTGGTCAAAATAATCTTAGAACAAATTATACCCAGATTTGGCCTGGTAGAAAATACTGATTCAGACAATGGGAGCCACTTTAACTTGAGGGTGCTAAAGGAATTATGGAAAGTGTCCCTGCTGGAGACAGCAACACACTCCAGTCTTTCTTCATAGGCAGCTGTCCTTCCTGTTTTGTTTTTTTAATCATAATAAAAGAAATCTCTAAAAACCTCGTTTCTTAAGCCATTCCATGGTCTCTTGAGGGCAGTAAAATGTCTTAAGAATGCCATATCTGATCAAATCACTCTTGCTATAGATTATTTCTTCGTTTTTGGTTTGATGAAACAAATTAAAAACCCTTTTTGTCATACAAACAGATACAAAATCATTTTTATGGTCATGTTATTGGTCAGAAGATAAGTGAATGGGTAAAGAACTTTCAGAAGAGAAAATAAAACAAAGCACAAGAAATAGTGGGATTAGAAAAATCTCTACGCCTACAAAGGTTACTCTTCCTGGAAGTGAGAAAAGAAGATACAAAAGATTCCAACAAGAAGCTTCCAGTAAATGAAACAAGAACATATTTCCCAGAAAACTGGATAAAACTGCATTACCGAATACCCTGGACTAGAGAAAGCTTAGATGTTCCTCGTGGCATCTCTCACTTGTTCTGGAAGTATTATCTTTAGTTAGGGGTATTTCCTTAACTAATAAAGCCTAGCATTGCTGTTGTTGCTGTTTCTGTCCCTAAAAATATTCTCTGCGTCACTCCTCTGGAGTCCACACATGGCCTCAAGGGGCAGGGCGGAGGGGCAGGGAAGAGAGGCCAGGCCTTTTGAGGCCCTGAACAATAACCTATGTGCTCTCAGCCACCCGCTGGCTGTGGCTGGGGACATGGGAAGCAGCTGTTCACCTTCCTGCCTCACTTTCGCTTCCCATACTTGACAACACCTGCCTTCTGCTATCCTCCTGCCCTGGTGGTTACAGGCTGCAACTGACAAGCACCTGGTTCAAAACCTAGCTCTGCTCTTCATCAGCCACATGGACCATGCTCAAGGCATTCGTTGTCTCTGATCCTCAGTTTCCTTGTCTGTAAAATGGGAATAATATTTCACCAGCTTCTATTAGGGGTTAAACAAGATAATTCTTGCATAGCACATAGCAAGCACTCAGGACATGGTGGCTAGTATTTGCTTCCTCTCTCTCATGGGTGGGAGACACAAAACCGACACAGAGTTAGCAGGACTTCTCCTCCAATCATCTCTAAACATGCTGCTGACAAAAAGTTGCGTGCCTTAACGAGCAGCAATTTGAGGGCAGCCCAAGCACCAACAGGTTTCCCAAGCACCCTCTGGCGACAGCCTAGGTCACATGAAGGGGCCAGTCTCAGAGGATGCTCAAGGCCTGGCAGGGAAAATTACACAAGGAAATTGGCCTGGGCAAATAGCTGACTCCAAACAGGAGTTTCACATCCCTGCTGAGGAGAGCCCTCTGGACAGAAAGTCAAAACTCAATGACAAGACAAAACCTTCCTAATACTCTCTGGGATATTTTAATACGCCCTCCCAAAGTGTCAAAGTACTTTGACCTCTATTTTGGTTTTTATGCCTCCTGAATCTGGCGATTCAGGACAAATGAGACAAAAATGCACAGGGTGGTAAAGTGACAGGTCACACAGTTCCCTAGGGCAGATTCCTGTAGCTCCACGTCGGAATTCGGCCATCTTCCTGGGCATGGAGCCCAGGTCGGCTGGATTCTGCTCTAACTACACAGCTCCTCAGATCACCCAGGAGCACACCTGCTCTCAAAGCCCAATCCACAGGAGCAAGCCCCCTGTCCCCAGGATGCTCCCCTCTGTGCAGGTGCCACTCTGTCCCACCCCAGAGCCCAGGCTTCAAACCCCAGGATTCCCGCCCCCACCCTGCCCCTGCCAGCGGGCAAGATGCTCCCGCCACTGCAGGGGGCTTGTGGGGATTTTCACCCCATCCCAACCTCTCCAAAGACCTCTCCCAACCAACCAGTGAACCATGAAGGAGACAAAGAACACTTCCTTTAACCTCCCCTGCCGCCATCGCTTTCCTGGGGCGGGAGGCAGAGACCCAGAGCTTGGGGCCAGGCAGGCAGGGTGGGCCTGCCCCATGGGGCCTGTGGGGGAAGCCGAGGGCTTTTCTGCCCTTTTCTAGGGAAAGAGGACGCGGCTGTACCGCCCGACCGACCCACGCTGCCGCCCTAAGCCACCAGTGCGTGGTGCCGGTTTCTCAGCAGCCTGGATGCGACTCCCGGAGCAGGCACGTGAGGCCGCGGCGCCCCAGCCCAGCTGTTTGAAGACGTAACTGTATCGACTGAGAATTTAATTGCTCCGTAATCGCTGGGTAAACACTGGCTGGTCCATTGCTCATGTTTCAGGCCCCATCACAGCCGATGGAAAGAGGCAGGAGAGGCAGAAATGCCCCAGCTATGCCAATGCAGGGCTATCCCCGCAGCCGTTCTCGGAAGCGCGCCCCGTCCTCCAGGGTACCCCGCGTGGCGGCCTCGGCAGAGCCCCTGCCTTGCTGCTGCCTAGCGGCAACGACGCCAGCCACGTGGGCCACCAGGGCGGGCGGCCCGGGAGGAAGTGGTTAGGGTAGGAGGCCTCTAAGGGGGCGCAGTACGCCTCGCCAAGTGGGAAATGCAGACTACAAAATCTTTTTTTTTTAAAATGGGCGTGGGAAGGACGTAAAACCCAACGCAGAGAAAAATAAAACACTGGGAGGCTGCACACTAAAATATTAACATCAGTTAATTCTACATGATGAAGTCCCATTTATATTTTCTTCTTTATATTTTGTATTTTCCACATTTCCAACAACTAGCGTGTATGACTTATAATCAGAGGAAATAGATGTTATTTAAGATCCAGTGAAATGGATGGGAGGATTTCTCTTGAGCGCTTAAAAAAAATTCTAGCAGCAGCTCTTTGAAAAGACGTTGTGTGTAGGAGTTGGACCTGGGTTCACTGTCCAGCTCCAGAAATAATTAGCAGTGGTCCCTCGGCCAAGATACCTAACTTCTCTCCATCCTGGATTCCTTATCTGTAAATGGGAATAACATCTATCTCACAGAATTACGTGAGATAAAATATCAAGAGTGCCCAGCACGTTGTCCCTGGCACGTTCAATAAATAATGTGTTCACTATGTCTTCCATCTTGGAGTAAGGATGGGGTGGTTGAGAAGGAAGAAGCAAGGACCAGCAGTGAGTCAGTTCAGTTAGCAGAGGCTCAGAGTGCCCCTTAGACCCCTACCCAGATCCCTTCTTGCTCTGGAGGCCTAGGGGTTGTTCTGTTTCCTGCCTAGCACTTCCCCCTCCTGAGCCCCGCCTCCCCTCCCGAGCCCCCGCCTCCCCTCCCGAGCCGCCTCCCCTCATGAACTCCACCTCTCCCTCCTGAGTCCTGCCTCCCCACCTGAGTCCCACGTCTCCTGCCTGAGCCCCGCCTCCCCTCCTGAGCCCCACCTCCCCCCAGCCCTGCCTCCCCCCGAACTCCACCTCTCCCTCCTGAGTCCCACCTCCCCTCCTGAGCCCCCACCTACCCCTGAGCCCTGCCTCCCCACCGAACTCCACCTCTCCCTCCTGAGCCCCGCCTCCCCCCTGAACTCCACCTCTCCCTCCTGAGCCCCACCTCCCCTCCTGAGCCCCCACCTCCCCCTGAGCCCTGCCTCCCCACCGAACTCCACCTCTCCCTCCTGAGTCCCACCTCCCCTCCTGAGCCCCCACCTACCCCCCGAGCCCCGCCTCCCCTCCTGAGCCCCGCCTCTCCTGCCTGAGCCCCGCCTCCCCTCCTGAGCCAACCTTCTCCATCTTGAGCCCCACTTCGTCTTCTGAGCCCTGCCTCCCCATCCTGAACTCCACCTCCCCTCCTAAGCCCACCTCCTTCTCCTGAGCCCCACCCTCTCCCACAGCCGCCTCCTCCCATTACTCTAATAGAGGCCCACCTTCCTCATCTTGGCCCCATTATCACCCTTGAGACAAATGGGCTCTATGCTGGGAGGCAGCTGGCCAGCTACCGGGTCATTGTCACTGAGAGCCTGAAAGGGAAGGGAGGCGGCAGGATCGAAAGTAGGGCTGCAATTACTGGCATATTCAGCGCCCCAGAATAAAGCCCTGTCATTAGCTGGCAGCAGGGAGGCGGTCGGTAGGGGCAACGACCAGGGGGCGATCTTTTCTGGGGAGAAAGAGCCTGGCACGCAGTTGCTGCTTCCTGGCTGGCTGCTGGGAGGAGGCACCACCCCCAGCTCCCACCTGAGGGCCTAACTACCCTGGCAGACATACATTGCCTTCCTAGGGGGGTTTGGGGAACCAGGGCACAGCAGAACCCATAATAACTCTATCTGGTTATCCAGCTTCGCAGGGCTTTCAGGGCTTTGCCAGCCCCGTAGCTGCTCCACTGTACTCCAGATCGCTGACGCCCTCCCTTCAGCCTCCCTTTGCAGACACCCACGCTTCCAGATGTGCTCAATTTCAGGTGTTCCCACTCCTGGGAGAATCACTCCCTGTCCGGCTCCCAGCCCCAAGACAGAGTTCCCCTGACACCAGCCCCCAGCTGCTCCTCTGCAGGTGGCTGGGGAAGGCTGTCCTGGCCTCGGTAGGGCTGAGGCTTCTCTGCCTCTTCGGGAGGGGTGAGGCTCTGTTCTGGCCCTGGGTCTTTCTGGGAGGGAGCAGACTTTCCTCTGGGCTGAGCAGCATCTCCACATCTCTGATCAGATAGATGAGCAGCCACTGCAGTGCTGCAGTGAAGGCACTTGCTCAGGAAAGGGACCCTTGCTCAGCCCCGGAGCTGGAGTGGGGGCCGGCCTTAGCCAGACTGCAGAGGAGGATGGCCAGGGAGATCCTGTGGCTGGCTGAGTCCACACAACAAAGGTCCTGACACCTGATTCACTGACTTTGGATTCCTTACTGGGGTCTCCTATGGAGGCCAACTGCTGATCCCAGAAATCCTCAGGAGGCCATGATTCCTACTGGCTGAGCTAGCGGGAAACCAGACTGACTGACAGGGGAGGAGCCAGACTGATGGGGGAGGAGCCAGACTGACGGGGGAGGAGCCAGACTGACGGGGAGGAGCCAGACTGATGGGGGAGGAGCCAGACTGACGGGGGAGGAGCCAGACTGATGGGGGAGGAGCCAGACTGATGGGGGAGGAGCCTGGCTTGTCTCAGAGCTCCAGAGTCCATACCAGATCTCCTCAGAGGGCTGTGTGACCTACCCGCCTGTGCCAGCCCCACAGGCTGGCCTCTGACTGTGACACATTCCACTAGAGGAGCTTACTGGGAAGTTGTGGCTATGCTCTGGAGGTGGGACAGCTGGGCTAGGGGAAGGGATGAGGTTTGGTGAAGGAATCGTTGGTAGGGTTAGGAGCAGGGATGCTGAGAGTCTGATCAGGGAAAACTTATCTTAGCATAGAATTCCCCCAAGAAGCCAAGAGCAAACACGTACACTGTTGGGCTGCCCAGAAAACATCCAGAGGGTCTCCTCTCGGAGAAGCCAGGAAAGCCACATCAGACAGACAGACAGACAGACAAAAACAGGCTCTAGGAAACTACAAATCAGACAGATAGACAGGACAACTTGGAGTAACTGGGAACTAGAGACAGCAGCTGAAGCCCTGGACCATCTCAGGGGGCAAGTCCTCCCTGTCCCCAGCCAGGGGGAGGGCCCCCGTAAGCAGGGTGTATAGGCGCCTCCATGAACCAACATTCAAGAGAATATCCCAACTCCCACACTCCCTCCCCGGAGCACCTCCTGTCCCCAACCTCAAAGCCCGCACCTCCCAGGGGAAGGTGAACAACAAGCTGAAGAACAAACCTCTTGGAAACTAAGGTCATGGGTTTCCTATCATCCACCTCAAACCCTGGAAAATAACCCTATTCCCTTGGAGCTCCAGCCCCTTGAGAGGGCAGCACCCCTCCCCTGCCCCACATCTACCTACATTCTGGCGTGCTGCTGGGGCCGCCTCTCTCCCACTCCTTCCCACCTGGAGCTAGGGCTGCAGGTGGGCACGACACAGGCAGCAGGGGAGTGCTGGTGTGTGAGCGAGCTTGCAGGCTGAGAGTGGATGGGAGGAGAGACCACAGGAAGCCCAAGGGATAGTCTCTGGTGCCCGCCCCTGCCAGGCCTGGGCTTCTCAAGGGTGTGTTATCCATCCTCACTGAGGCCTGGTGCTTGGTTAGTATCAATAAAATGCTCACTGAATTGAGTTGAATTGATGGAGCTGGAGGCAGGCCAGACAGCTTTTCTCTCTTCTACCAAGGAAGGCAGTTTCTAGGAAGAAGACTCGGGCCCTGTGTCTGAACAGTGAGGGCTTATGGGGAGGGGCCAGGGAACTCAGGGTCTTCCTCTACAACATCCTGGTGTCTTCCACATCTCCACGCTCTCCTCTTTCCTTCTCCCTCCACCGTTTCATTCTCCCATTTCTCTTCTTCCTTCTAATTTGCAGGTGAGCAGTTTTTCTTTTGAGGGTATCCTGATGTCCCACTGCATGGGGAACTTCTCAAGGGTCCAAGTTGGCCTTATGTGCTTTTATGTCCCCAGGCCTGGCCCAAAACTTGTCACAGAGGACACCGAAAACATCAGCCTCCCATCTCCAACATGGTTGGCTTCAGTAACTCCCATCCCTCCCTCAGCCCTGGATTTAAGGGCCTCTTGGGTGTGTGGCCTCTCCGAGTCCTCCTCAGAGCCCCGCCTCTTTCTCTGACCTCTGCTGGCTCCCCTATGAGGCAAAATGAACAGCAATGCCTTTCACGGGGTGGCTGTCTGTGCCCCAAGATCACTAGCCACCACTTCTGATCACTGTCCAGTTATTTTCCAGAGGATAAAGGGGGAAAGATCACAGAATCATTGGATCTTAAACCTGAAAATGGTGAGCATGAGGAGTCCGGCGCCCTAAGCTTCCTGTGGCTGCACTGGTCCTTGCTCTGTGACTGTGGACAAGTCTCTGGGTCCTCCGACCCTTACTCTCCTCTCATCCTTCAGGGACAAGAAGACCTGCCCAGTCTGGCCCCACTGAGCAGCTCAGAGACTCGACGGGATGATAGGTGAATGCCACTTTTGAGACAGACCAAGCCCTTCACTATCCAGATGAGGAAACTGAGGCCCAGGGCAGTGGAGTAACTTGCCCAAATTCACTCCATAACAGGAGACTGAGAGACTGGGCAAATTTCAGGCCAGAATCCAAGTGGAGTAAAGAACAAGTCAAGAAAAGAGAAACGTGCAGAATGGAGACAGACAAACTGGTGGAAAAGAGAAAAGAGTGAGAGAGAGATTGACAGAACACAGATCGGGGGGCGGGTGGGGAGCACGACGTGGGCACAGAAGAGGAGAAACGAGAAACACAAGGGCAGAGAGACAGAGGCAGATGCGGAGGGAGAAGGCTGATCACGGGACGGAGACGGAACTCCAGGAAGCGGGACAGGGAGGCAGAGGGCAGGAGGATAACCCAGGAAAAAACAGAGGAGAAAGCTCAGGACTGTGGCTCTGAAACCTGACTCCTCAACACTCCCGCTCCAGTCCGAGGCTGTCAACTAAAGCAGCCAGGGCTGAGAGAGCCTTAACATTAAAGACAGGCACCTCGGCTGACTGGAAGAAGAGAAACCAGAAAGAAAAGTATAAATCCTTGATGTAAGAGGAAGGCTGGGCACTGGGCATGGGCTGAGCGCACACCACTGTGTGCCAGGCACCCTACCGTGTGAGAGACACGAATATCCCCAATCAAATCAACTTTCCCGGCTGCTTACAAAAGTTAGATTTTACATGGGCCGTTTAGAAGGAAGGAGCCTACGTGTGGGGTGTGATCGACAGGGCATAATCACCTTAAAAGTTGGGAACGGCTCATTTGGGGTCCAGAGGGAGCAGAGAGAAACTGAAGTCTGAGGAAGGAGGTGAAAGCAAACAAATTACCCCACATGAGACTCAAGAGGAGGAGGCCCAATAGCTAGTGCAGTGGTACGTGCTTTGTTGTAACAGGAAGGAAGGTGGGGATGCGGAAGGGAGGAAGGGCCACAGTTCCCACCTTTGGGAGGCCAGGTCGGAGCAGGCGTCGGCGGCTGGGCAGCAGAACTGGTGCAGCACGGTCTCATTCCTGCGGGCAGAGCAGAGGGAGATCAGAGCGCCTGAGGCAGGCTGGGTCCCCGCCCTGCCTGACACTAAAGCATTTCTGCCCTGAAATCTTGCTGCTCCTACCCCCGCCCTTTTGAGCCCCTGTGTAAAAATCAGGCAGCCAATCACTGCTCTGGGCAAGAGTGCAGCATCGATGCTCTGTCCATCAGAGGCCTCTTAAATCACCCATTAGGCTCAATTCAGATGCTACCTCCTGTGTGCAGCCTCCTTGACCTCCCTGGGAACTCACCCTTCCTACTTCTGCACGCCCTCCCCGCAGCAGGCTCTTTCGCGTGCATGTACCAAATGTCCTGCTCTGTTATCGTAGTTTGTTCTTTATGACCCTGTTCTCCACGATGGTCCTGCAAGGTAGAACTAAGTCTATTTGTCTAGGATGCACAGAATTGCGTGCAGTGAATACTTTTAAGCTGATCATATACAAAGATACAAAACATTCATACAGGGACTTCAGTGTTGCCAGCTAAAAATCCAAGGAGTGGTGCTTGATGAGGCATTTGGTGTCGATGAAAAAGCCAACGCAGAAGGCAGGGATCTGGGTTCTAGTCCCAGCTCTACAGTTCGCCAGCTGTGTCATACGAGGCTAACCTTTTCTGGGCTTCAGCTGACTTACTAATGAAATAAGGGAGTTGAACTAGCGAAGTGGTTCTCAGCCCTAGCTGCATATTAGAATCATGAGGAAATTTTTAAAACGACTCATGCCTAGACCCTTCCCTTCCCCCCAGGACTCTGATTTATGTGGTCTGGCATCAGTCCAGGGCACCGGGACTTTTTAATAAACTCCCAGGTGATTCTAAAGGCAGCCAGGATTGAGAGGCACTAGACTAGAGGATTTCCTAGGTCCCTTCCACCTCTAAAATGCTGTGATTCCAATATCCGCTTTGAGCCAACCTGGGATTCAATATTGAAATTACTTTTGGATAAAGATACACCGACCCATTGCCTTCTCTTCCTTAATAAGCAGTTGCCGTCCTAGGCATTACTGAGTCAGAGAATGTCAAACCTGGAAGGGCCCCCAGAGATCATCTGAAAGGGATTTTCAAAATTCCTTCAGCTTCAGAACACTTTGTCCAAACCAAATCTTTACTGGAAGCCTATTTTGTAAAACAACAAAAGTAGAATATCTCCATGGCTGGGGGAAGGGGCATCTGTACCACTTCCCCAGACCTCCTAGCCCCGAATTTGGTAGCCACCTCCCAGGCACGTGTTGGGGGCCCACAGGGTCTGAGAGTGTAGACAGGAAGTGCTGAATTTGGCTATCTGCATGGAAGAAAGAACACTGTAGCGTATCTTAACTTTTGTTTGTTATTTTAGAGACAGGGCTTTGCTGTGTTGCCCAGGCTGGAGTGCAGTGGTGTGATCATAGCTCACTGTAACCTTGGCCTTCTGGGCTCAAGCAATCCTCCTGTCTCAGCTACAGGCATGTGCCACCAGGCTCAGCTAATTTAAAAAAATTTCATAGAGATAGAGGTCTCACTATGTTGCCCAGCCTGGTCTCGAACTCCTGGCCTCAGGCAATCCTCCCGTCTTGGCCTCCTAAAGCACTGGGATTACAGGCATGAGCCATCACACCTGTCTGAGCCAACCTTAATTTGACAAAAAGTAAATTCCAGAAAGGTTATATGTTTAAATGAGAGAAATTAAAAGGAAAAAATCGAAGGAAGCTTAGGAATATAGCTTATGTGTTGAGGAGATTTTAAAAACAAAATGGAGAACTGAAAAGCCATTAAAAAAAGATAAACATGTCTGACTACATAAAGTGAAGAAAAAAATCTGTATGAAAACAAATACCCTAATAAGTCAAAAGACACATGATAGACTAGGAAAGTATATGTGCAAAATGTATGACAGAAGGCAAGTTAATACTCTGCACTGAGCTCCAGCACATTCATGGTGCAAAGACAAACCCAGCAGAAAAAACAGCCAAAGCATAGGAATAGCAGTTGACAGAACGAGAACCCTAAAGAGCCAACAAATACGCTTCACATCTGTGCTATTCTGCCTCACAAACTCAAATTAAGAACAAATTCATAGCCAATGGAAAGATGCTTACTAGTAAATAGGAAAATGCCAATTAAAGTCACGCTGAGATGCCATTTCTCATCCATCAGACTGGTTGGTACCCATTAAAAAGACTGCTAACTATGAGTGCTGGTGAGGCTGTGGAGAGAGGGCTGCCCTGACCCATTATCTGTGTAGATGTGAATTATGAAGCGTTTATGGAAATGTAAATGAAAGATAAAATTCTAAGCCCCCCAGTTGACTGAATGGACCTCCTTCTCAGCCAAGGGCATTCCAAAGAAACCTAGTTCAGGCCATGATGGGAAGTAGGGGTAGGACATGCCTCCATATCCCTCCTCCCTTAGGAATTCAGGCACAGCTGACCAGCATTAATATTTAACAAAAAACATTAAAACAGTCTTAACAGAGCTCTTAAGACTGAAAAAACAGACTCTTTGTAGCAATAAGACAAATTTGTAGCAAATTCCAACCTGACTCTAGTATAGCATCACATGACAGGTAGCAGGCCCTGAAAGAAACTGAACTATTTTACAGCAAAATACATTTCTTTTATATATATTGGCCCTGCAAATATGTTTCAGAAATGGCCCTGGAAAGCTGTCTCTTGTGGGGAAAATCTACATTCTGTAGAGAATCCTCTTCCTATTCCAGGTCTTTTCCCTGATCCAGGAGAAAATCAGTTAAGAGTCTCGCACCTTTTTAAGTCTGATAAGAAAAACTTATAATCTATTCTCTCTGAAGCCTGTACCTGGAGGCTTCATCTGCATAATAAGAACCTTGGTCTTTACACCGTCTCATTTTAACCCAGACACTCCCTTCTACTGATTCCACGTCTTTTGATAATAATGACTCTTCAACCAATTGTCAATCAGAAAATCTTTGAATCCACCTGTGACCGCCATATTTCAAATTGTCCCACCCTTCCAGATTGAACCAATGTGCACCTTGGTTCAGTCTCACTTTCTTACTTACATAAGTCACTGATGTCTCATGTCCCCCTAAAACGTATAAAACAAAGCTGCAGCCCAACCACCTTGGGTGCGTGTTCTTAGGACCTCTTAAGACTGTGCCTCAGGCCATGGTCACTCCTATTTGGCTCAGAATAAATCTCTTCAAATATTTTACAGAGTTTGACTCTTTTCTTCAACAGAAGAATTGTTTTTAGTGTGGTGGTGGAGGGGGGAAATGCAAACAGCCCAAGTCCTCATCAATCAGGAAATGATTGAATAAACTGTAATACCTTCAACCATACCATGGAATTACGCCTACCTATTCAAAAAGAACTAGTTAGCAGTCTATCTCTCAGTCTGGATGGATTTCCACAACATATTGTTAAATGAGAAAAGCAAGTTGCAGAGAAATATATAAAGAGTGATCCCAGTTTTATAAAACAAAAAATGACTCCTCTCACCAAATGCAAATTCTTTGCATGTGTACTCTATTTATATATGAATGCAAACCCAAGTATTAACATTGGCTACCTCAGCAGATGAGAGCAGGGAAAAAACATGGAGGTAGGAAAAAGAGAAGGAAAAGCAATGCTTAGGGTAAAATGTTGACTGACAATGTTAAATATCAATTCCCATGTGTGATATTACCGTAAATCCATTAAAACTGAATATGAACCTAGATAAGAGCTGGAAGATGTCAGAAACCAACACAAATATTGATGCCATTTCACAGACTAGATCATGGGCAATGTTTATCTTGGACTTTTGTTCATTAATACATTTTTTGTTACAGATTATATATAATCTATAGGTCATAGACTAATAATTGATGCAACAAACATGAATTTTTTAAAGGGCAATAAAGAAAATAATTAAATCTGAGCCCTCATTTTACAAATGAGAAAACTGAGGCTGAGTGGAGAAGTCATTTACCTACAGTGGTTCCCCGGCCAAAATTCCAGGTCAGTCTTCCAGCCCGAGGTTCATTCCCGGGGCAAATCAAAGACTTTAGAGAACTGTCTGAAACCTAAACATCTTTTGATGGCACCCAAGGCTTCCTGGCCTGAAGAAAAGGGGAAAATGGAATGAGGAGATGGAGCAGGAGCAAGAAGGCAAGAGCCCAGACAATGCAGGGTAGGTGGACCTAGGTGTGCAGGACAGTGGAGAGCCTACACCCCCAGTTCCAGGCCTCCAGCTGCTCCGGGGTCCCAGGACAGGTTTGGAATTCCTGACAAAAGCCATCAAGAGCATACGCAAAGAAGCATTGCTTGTTCACTACCCACAGCGCTGGCATTTCAGGAAGGAAAGTTCACCTACATGGTCATAGGCTGGCACAGTGGTGCCTGGGGGGACTCTGTTCTGATCCTGCCCCTGTTTCCCAGAGGCTTCCTCCCAAGGTTAGGAGCCACTCGTCTGTCCAGACACTGAGGGCAGGCACCTGCTGGTCCTCCCAGGTCCCCAGACTCAGCTGCAGTGACACATGTGATGGGTAACTGAATGCCCCCAAGACCTGCAGCACCTTGGGCTTGGGCCGGCAGTGCTGTTGGGGCTTCTGCTGCCACTGGGGGACAGTTCAGCCAAGAGGGGAGCTTGTCTTCCAGTTCTGCCTCTGCGCTCCTCCATCCACCTCCTGCTCCTTGGGTCTCCTCAGCCTAGGCCAGAACCCTTCTTGTCTTCTTTCAGGGTTTAGCTCATGCTGAATTGTAAGTCCTGCCTTGCCTGCCTTTGACCAGCCTGGCCACCCACCCTGCCCAAGGTCATGGTCTAAGTTTCCTGACCTGGGCATGTCTTAGCTTAAGTTTCCTAAGGTCACACAGCTAGTTAGTAGCAGAGCCTAAACCCCAGGCAGGCTCCTGTCAAGGATCATGCCCACAACTCTTCTTCAAAGGGTTTTTGGCAAGCGGGCATTCATGTGTTCATTTACCAAGACCAGGCAGGGAGTCCCTAGTGCCTACATCAGTGCCTGGTATAGTGATGGCACTCAATGCTTGAGTATGCAAAGAAGCATCACTGCAGTCCCTGCCTCAGGGAGTCCACCAGCTAGGAGAATGCTTTAATCTGTCTGTGTTGCTATAAAAGAATATCTGAGGCTGAGTAACTTACAAAGAAAAGAGGTTTATTTGGCTCACGGTTCTGCAGGATGAACAAGAGGCATGGCTGCAGCATCTGCTTCTGGTGAGGCCTCAGGCTGCTTCCATTCATAGTGGAAGGGGAAGGGCAGCCAGTGTGTGCAGAGATGACAGAGCAAGAGAAGAAGCAAAAGAGAGAGGGGAGGGAGGTGCCAGCTCTCAGGGGAACTAACAGAGTGAGAAGTCACTCACCCCCAACTCCCCAGAGAGGGTGTTAATCTATTCGTGAGGAAGCCACTCCCATAACCCAGATACCTCGAGTTAGGCCCCACCTCCAACTCTGGGACTGAATTTCCACGTGAGGTTTGGAGGGGACAAACATTCAAAACATAGCAGAAAACATTCACATCAAGAAAGGCCCAAGTTCCTGTTTGGTTGTAGCTGGAAAGGAGCCATACTGAGACCGTGGGCAGAGGGATCATTGCCTAGGTCATCCTCTGACGCTGCCTCCAAGCTTCTTCCTGAATCCTTAGTCTTCAGGCCACAGCCTTCCCCTCTGTCTCTGCCTTGCTCTCTTCCCACCCTCCCTGGAACACTGCCACCATAGCAGATGGACACTGGACACCAGGGGCTGGCAAGGTGAGCAGGGGACAGGAAGGGACGGGATCTCTTGGTGGCACCAACCTGAGGTTGTTGCCAGGATGTCCCATCAGAATCTGTCCACCTGGGAGGCAGGGGACCATGGGCACAACCTGCTTCTGTCCACAGACCCCAGAGTAAGGCTTTCTTACCTCAGGAGGGCTGGCTTGAGGTCCTGCCACCACCCTCAAACCCCAGTGAAGCTTTGGGGGGGTCCATGCCAGGTGCACCAGTTCTCCACAAGTGGATCACAATCCCTGTGTGCATTCATTTAAGTCCTTATCTCTCAAAGCCTCAGTTTTCTTGCCAGTAAAGCTAGGATAATAGTAGCTCCTGCACCTTGCAGGGCTTTTAGGAGGGCAAATACAACAGCGAATGGCAAGGCACATTATAAAGGCAAAGGCCACACAAAAGTACCTTTTATTCATTCACCTTCCTGACCCAGCCCTTTTATTTCATCTGTGAAAATGACAGAAAGAAAGGAAGTATTTCTTCCTCAGATAATGCTTCTTGCATTCTTGAAATCAACCAGTGCTGCATTTTGTGAGCACCAAGGGGCAGAAAATGTCTCCTCAATACAGCAAGAACCAGCTGTTCTCAGAACCTGCTTCCCAGGGGCTGCACACTCAACACGCTCAGCTCTCTGTACCTGAATCGTCACACCAGGGCAGATGGTGGCATGCAGCATCTCTGCATCCCTATTTCATTGTGGTGGAAACTGAGGCCTACAGCAGAGTGAGACAGGGTCCCAGCAGGTCGAGCAAATCCTGAGATGCGGGGCCTTTAGGGAGGGGGCCCGGGACCCGGATCTCGGCTGCTCCCCATCGCTGCTGGAGAAGTAAAGAAAGGAGAGAGGTCCCCGTAGGCCCGAGTGCAATCACCACACTTGGGGTGGGGGCAGCAGGGGAACCACTCAAGTGCCTTAGGCCTTTGGAACCATACAGCCCCCAATCTACCTCACAGCACGAGCCTGGGAGGGGCATTCTCAGAGCCCCTGTGACACACAAGTCTGGGGGTACCATTCACATTGTAGTCATGGGAACCACAGCCCAAGGCTGTGGCCCTGCGAGTTCTGCGGCTGGAGGGGCCGAAGGAAACTGGCAATGGAAGGACCTCTATGAAAAAGGAACATCGTCATTCTCGGTCTCTGGCTTTTTCTCTTCCAAAAGCCAAGAACTGAGACTGGGCCATGTTCCTTGAGGGAAGCTTACAGAATCCCAGCCAAAGACTTCTTCCAGGGCCAATGGCTTGAAGCAGAATTCAGTCCCCTGTGGCTTCAGCAGTCCCAAATCCCCCATATTGATGAGTTCTGATGGGGCAGCTGGACTGTTGGATGGATGTGGTAAAACCTAAACATGAGGTAGTCTGTGGGCCCAGTATGAGGTTTTTATGTGTTGGGGATCCCTAGTCGTGCTGTGAGGCTGGGCTGGGCAGGAGCTTGCCGCACTCAGAATGAGACTGGACCAGGGTAGGAGGCTGTGTTCCTTGGCCATCAAGGAGCAGCTGGCTCTGGGAATTCCAAGGCATCTCCCAAGCGAGATGGGAGTCAATGGTCTGCACTGGAGGCAGCGCAGACCTGAAGGAAGAGGGGAAGCTGGGGGTCAGTCAGGAAAGAACCCTGCTTCTTTCTTTTCTTTCTTTCTTTTTTTTGAGACAGGGTCTCACTCCATCGCCCAGCCTGGAGTGCAGTGGCACGATCTCAGCTCACTGCAACCTCCAACCTCCAACCTCCAACCTCCCAGGCTCAAGCAATGCTCCCAAGTAGTTGGGACCACAGGCATGTGCCACCACACCCAGATACTTTCTTTTTGACTTTTTTGTAGAGACAGAGTTTCATCATGCTGCCCAGGCTGGTCTCGAACTCCTCGGCTCCAGTGATCCATCCACCTTGGCCTCCCAAAGTGCTGGGATTACAGGCATGAACAACCGCGCTGGGCCTCCCTGTTTCTTAAAGAACCAGGAAGATGGGGGAGTAGCGCTGCCAGAGGAGCAACAGTCAGGGCCAGCTGGCCAGATGGGGAAGGAGCATCAAGTGCAGCAAGGAGCTCAGGAAAGCCGCATCCAGAGCCAGGCTCACAGGATTACAGGAGGCTGTGCGCTGTAACTTCCCACATCTATATTTAGTGTCAGACTCAGGGTTCCACTGCATGGCCATAAAAATAGTTGAGTGGTTTAGAAGAACTGATGAAGAGTGCAGTACCACAGTGGGAGAAGCAGGAGAGGGCTTGAGCGGGAGGGAGGTGCTCCCAGCAGGAGAATAAAGGAGGCCAAGCCGGAAGTCCCAGGGGGCAACTCTGAAGGAGGATCCCCCTCCCTTCACCAAGCTGAGGATAGCAGACTGAATCCCCAGCCTTCAGAAGGAAACAGCCAGGGAACCTCTCTAAAGGAGCTGCCTTGAGCTCCAGGAGAAGGGAGAAATCATAAAATTGCTTCTGGTCACCTGCCCCATCCCCACCCATCTTGGTACCACCATCACTACTGCTGGTGGAGCCTGCAGACTGGATTTTTTTCCACTTTCTCTTAATTTTCTCACCTCCTCCAAAGAGCCTTTTCTATTTAAACTTAATAAATAGGAAGAAAAGAAACCCTTATTTTTTCAGAAACCTCTGATTCCTGGGGTGAGGAGGAGGAGGGGATAGCCAAAACAACTTTGAAAAACAAGAACAAGTTGTAGGACTTCACTGGATGGTTTCAAGACTGAAAATGAAGCTACCATAATTAAGATGGTGCAGTGGTGGCATAAGAATAGACACACAGATTGAACAAAAAGAGAAGCCAGAAATAGATCCATACATATATCATAAATTGACCCTTGGTAAAAGTACCAAGGCATTCAAAAAGGAATGATAAACTTTTTAACAGATAGTGCTGAAACAACTGGATATCCAGATGCAAAAAAATAGACTTCAATCCATGCCTTATGCCATACATAAAAATTTAAAAAATAGATCATAGACTTAAAATAACAGATAAAACCATAACACATCTCAAAGAAAATATAGAAGATAATATGTGGCTTTAGGATATGCAAAGATTTCATAGATAGGACCAGAAAGCACAAGCCACGAAACAAAAAAATTGCTAAGTTAGCCTTCATTGAAATGAAAAAGGTACATCAATTTTTCTCTTTGAAGAACTGCTACAACTCAATAATAAAAAGACAAACAACCTGATAGGAAAATGTACAAGAGATTTGAACAGACACTTCTCCAAAGGAAATATACTAAGGACAAACAAGCACACGACAAGATCTTCAACATCACTAGTCATTAGGGAATTGCCAATTAAAACCACAAGCAGATACTATTACACACCCACTAGAATGAATAAAATCTGTGTCTGACAAAACCGAGTGTTGACAAGGGTGCGGAGCACCTGGAACTCTCATACACCTCTGAAAGGAATGCAAAATAGTGCCACACTTTGGAAAACAGTCTTGCAGTTTCTTCTAAAGTTAAACATACATTTATCATATACCCTTCCAATTGCATTCCTAGGTATTTACCCAAGATAAACAAAAAGTTATACTGATACGAAACTATTCATGTATGTAAAAAACCACCCAGAAACAATGTAAATGTCCACTAACTGGCAAATGGATAAATTGTGGTATGTCCATTCAATGTAATACTATTCAGCAATAAAAAGGAACATGCTTACTGATACATCAGCCAACATGGATGAATTTCATAAACGTTGTATTAAATAAAGGAAGGTGTCCACAAAAGACTCCATATTGTATGATTCCACTTATATAATATTCTAGAAAAGACACAACTATATTGACAGAGGTAAGTTTCAGCAATGCAGGAAGGAAGGGATGAACTGTAAGAGGGAACAAAGGGTCACTTGGCTGATGAAAATGTTTGTATCTTGACTGAGATAGTTGTTACACAAGTGTAATGTTTCAAAACTCATCAAGTTATACATGTAAAACGGCTGAATTTTATTGTATCTAATTTTAGCTTAATCCAACTGATTTTTAAAAAGAAAAAAGACCAAAATCTTTTCCTCTTCCTTCTCATTTCTTGCTATTTTATCAAGAGGCTTTAGAATAATTTCCTTTCTAATTTCCCTCCACCCATTGCCCCCAGATCACCTAATGATTAACCCCCTTCCAAGCAGTAGAAAAAGACATTATATTTTTCTTTCCTTTCAACTGCTAGATTGTATTTTCAGAGACTAGATGGTTCATCACTGAGCCAAAGGAGTCCAGGGGGCCAGAAACTGGGACAATGAGAAAATTGGGGGTGGGGATGGCTGAATGGGGGAAATTTGGGGCCTGGGCCTAAGGACTGAGAGTCCCTAGAAGGTTTGATAGAAACAGCTCTGGGCTGGAGATGCAGACCCAGCCCCTACTCTATGCTCACCTTTGGGAGGGTCAGGTCATGGTAAACAAGGCTCCTACACCTGCCTTATTTATTTTACTGAACTGTGGGGGATTCATATTCAAGCAAGACTTGAATATGAAACTACCTTGAGAGAAACATAATAAACCCTGCACAAATGCAAAACCTTATAATGAATATTACTGATATTATTAGTCTCTGCTACTGAGAAACTCAGCAACCACAATTCTCTTTCAAACAGAGCCCTACCAGGATGCCATCTTGACTTCCTTCTTTCTGGTCCCTATTTTCTTCTGCAGGCCTGGGGGCTGTGGAGGGAGAGGTAGATTTCCTTTGCTCACTGGTGCAATCTACCACTGTACAGTCTTCCACAGAGAGCTTTGGGAAGATCTTAATAAGGCAAGCAGTTACAGCTGTTCCAGAAGCCGGGGCAAAAGGCTGTAGAAAACATTGGCCTGTTGGTATCCAGACCCAGGTTGGCCAACCAGGTTCAGTGTTCTGCCCCAAGCCTGCCAGAGGATGGAATCTCCACAGGGACCCCCTGCTCTCCAGGACTTGCTTCTCTTTGATTCTCTGCTCACTTTTCTTTGGGGGAGCTTTGACGTTCTTCTAGTCCATGCCTCTGCCATCAAGGAAAAGAAGGATAACAGAGTCCTAGGAAAACAGTGACCTGCCCCTTTATTATTCAGTGAGGTTTTTCCTAAAAACACACTGTACGTTTTTCAGATGTTCATAAAAGAGTATGAGTTTGGTCTTGCAGTAACTCAGTGTTTTTTCTGTTGTACTCCGAAGAGGCCCAGTGCCCCACCAGCTGCTGCAGGGACCTTATTAAGGTTAAGAGGAGAATGGAGAAGGCAGAGCACAGAACCTTCCATTCAACTAATGAAGCTCTGATTTGGTTAGTTTTATGTCTTAGGAATATCTGTTAGGTTTAATTTTGAAAAAAATAAGTTTCCTTTTTTAAGAAACAGCTGAGAAAACATGCTTCTAACCCGAAGCCCTCCTGCTGCTTCGGGAAGCCAGCTCTGCCGTGTCCAGTCATGCTGGCCTTAGAGAGGTGCTGCGTGCCCCTCCCTGCAAGGGCCCGCCATAGTCCTCCTTTCGGTGAAGCCTGCGGGAATCCTTCCTGAGGAATCCTACCTAACCGCACGTATACAACAGAACTTTTTTAAAGGACTGTATAAGGATGAAATGAGTTAAAACACTTTGAAAGCCCTTACAACAGAACACGGCTAATACATGGTAGCTGTTATGAATGTGTCCTACTTCTGATACCTTTGATCTCAAGGAAGAGCTGTTTGCCTTCCCTCCAAGCCCTATCGCTCTTTACCCCCTTTCCTCCCCCACTGGTCTTCAGTGTCATTATTTTCATAGGCCCTTTTTCTTCAGCATATAAACATGCTCAAATCTCTCATCCTAAAACCATGATTATTCCCTACAACTCTGCTCCCCTGGTTACAACTCTTTCCTTCTGCAGTCAGTCTTCCAAAAAGAGTTGTCTGCTTGTGTGAGCTTCCTTTCACCTTGATCTCTTGCCAACTTGCTGTCATCTGGGTTCTTCCCCCAGAGGCCTAGCAGAATTTAATCTAGGGAGGTCCCTAGTGATCTCTTAGTTGCCAAATCTAAGAACTTCTCAGCGTCTGACTTCACTTTTCTGTAGCATACGTTGGCCCAAATCTCCCTATTTGAAACACTCCCCTCCCATGACTTTCAGAGAAGTGTTCTGCCCTGGTTTTCCTAGTACTTTTTTTGCATGGTGATGAGAGGAAATCAGCCTTCATGCTGGGAGGAAGCCCAAATGACTCCATGGAGAGGCGTGCATGGAAAGGAACAAACAGCCATCCCCAGCTTGACAGCCGCTTGATGACCATCCTGATAATGAACCTCCATCCTCCAAGCCCCTCTAGCAGATATGATGCAGAACAGAAAAAAGCTGTCCCCAATAAGCTCTGCCAAAACTACAGATTTCTGAGCAAAACAGAGATCTGTTTTGTTATTTTGAGTTTTGAGGTAGCTCTCACAGCATGTTGTTGGTTATTTGCCTCTGGTCCTAGGAGTGCACCTGCATATAGCTGAGAGGGAGCCACAGAACACTTTGGGGAAGGAATTTCATGGAGGCCCTTTCTAGAACCACAGGAGAGAGCACAATTTCACGGAGAGCTGTAGGCCTTCCCAGATCTAAGGATCTGGGAAGACCTGCATAGCATCCTTGCCCTTCCAAAAGATGGGTGTGGAATCACAGGCAGATTATCTGATCTTCTTCAGCCTCGGTCTCCTGAACTGTAAAAGGGAGGTCATACAAGAAATGACCTCATCAGGTTGTTGTGAAGGTCAAACAAGATACCTGTGTTGTGCTTAGTACAATACCTAGCACAGAGCAGGCACACACACACAAAAATGCTTGTACTAGGCCGTGCGCTGATATGGGGTAGGCAGGAGCTGTCTGGAGTTCAAAGTCCGTCTTTGCTATTTTCCTGTTAATATCTTTGCCTGACTGAGCCTCAGTTTCCTTACTCATAAAATAGGATATGGACAGCATCTATCTCGAAGGCTTATTGTGATGAGCAAATGAGCTAACAGATCTAAAATGCTTAGATCTGAGCCTGGTCCAATGAGTAAGCCCTCACTGTCCCAGACCCGATTACCGCACACTCCAAAGCCTCACAGTATTATGGGGACAGCAAAGCCTGTACCCATACCACCATGTTACAATTAGGAAATAGGCTAAAGGTGATGGCCATCTCAGCCAGTGATCCCAGGCTTCTCAGAAATCTAGACATCCAGAATCTGCCCAGCCTTCAGAGTCCAGTGCCAAAGACATTCCTCCCACAAAGCCTTCCCTTGTTTGTTTTGTGCTCACCCCCAACCCTGCTGGCCTCTGCCCCACCTAGGCCGGAAGCGCCCACCTCTGAACTCCTTCAGCAGCTTCCCTGAGACATTAGTGGAATGCAACATCTATTTTTTCCACTCTGTATCACTGATGTTTATATACATGTCATATCTCCCTATACTAGAATGAGTTTTCCAGAGCCATGCCTGTGACCAATTCATCTCTACATCCAGTACAGAACATAGCCTGGCACATGGCTTAGAGCAGAAATGGTTTGTTGACTGAATGTGTGAATAAATCCCGATTCCTAAGGGTGCTGGAGAGAAATGGGGGATTAAGTGTGCACATATATGAAACATGCACATGCCTGGAAACAAAGGCACAACACATGCTAGAGACACAGACCTACTCATCAGTATCAACACACGCTCAAGGCAGTACAACATCTCTATAACTAATCCTCATTTTACAGATGAGGAGGCTCAGAGAGTCTAAGATATTTGCTCAGTATCACAGCCTTGGCATCTACCTGGCAGTCTTGGGGGAGCTTAACTCAGAACAGGAAACCCAGGCTGTAACTTGAGCATGCCAGGAGGCCCTAGCTTCCTTTTCGGCCATGCTCACCCCGCCACTCAGCCCAGCCCCAGAACAGTGAGAGCTTGCTGTCAGTCCTCGAGCTCCATGCCACTGTCTCTCTTCCTGCCCAGCAGGGTGGCACTGTCAGAAATGCCAGAGCCATTTAGTTGCCCAGCTTGAGGCCTAGTTCTTTGAACTCCAGCAGACTTTGCAGGGAGCCAAGAGGGCTCCCAGTGCCAGGCGTGGCAGCACAGCATGAATTGCAGAGCTGGGCCCGTGGCTGCATCCTGCCAGCTTCCCTCACAAGAGATCTCTGTATTACCTGGCAGATGGGTGCCTGGCAGCTAGGCAAAGCCAGCTTGAAAGGACGGATCAAAGCCATTGGGCCTCTGCCAGGCTCTGAGGCTGCTCCTCACCAAGTCCTGCCTCACAGCGCCAGGGCAGCATGCCTCCACAGCGTTCCTAACCCACCTTTCGTCAGCTGTGGGCACGCAGTGTTTCTCCAGGAATGGCGAAGGCAAGTCCTGACCAATAGCAACACTGCATTTATGCATGTTTCTGATTTAAAAAACCTTTCTGAACATCCTAAGAGTAATCCCATGGAAAAATATGATACTAATGATAATTAATGTCATTATTATTATTAATGCCATTTGAGGCTAACGGAGGTTTGACGACCTCCCGAGGACCCACAGCTCTGACTTTTTTTGCTGCACGCTGCTTCTGGCATCCATTCTCACTGTACCCCCTGACCCCAGGCATCTGCAGAGGAGGTGGCCTCTGGGCTGTGAGTGGAAGAGCCTTGATCTTGCCCTTCATAGCACAGTCAGACTCTTGAAGTTTGACAGAAACATCAAAACCTACCCAGCCAATCCCCAATTCCAGAGCTTCAACTGACCTTCTAGCATAGACTGCTCAGGTACCTCAATCACATGCCCACAAAAACAGCTGTTTGCTTCTGGTGAATCTGCTAAACCCAAAGGCTCAACATACTCATACACACCTGCCTGGGTGCACAAAGATGTGTACACACAAACATACACCCGTACCTCTTGGTGGACACACATATACATGCAGGCTTCCCTTCATGCACTCATTCAGAGCTCTTACAACAATGCACATAGGTCCTAAACGCCCCAAACCTATGCACACACCATCCTGCACATGTGTGCACACTCCTGGATTTGTAAATGCATACATACACACATACATATTCTCACATACAACCCTGCCCGTGCACACATGTGCAGGCATACACGCACACATGCAGAGCTGAGAACAAGGATGTTTTGTCCACTATGTGAACCCTCCTGACCATATGGGCCACGCAGGGATGTGATGTCCCATGGGGACCTGTAAACCATTCATCTTGTGGCTGCATGTGGGTGGTACTCTGCCAGTCATCAAGCCCAGTCCTGCCAGGCTGGGCACTGAGATGAGTGGGCCACGGGCCAAATTCAGAGCTGCAGCAACGTGAACAACTGTCATATGGGCACGATGCCACCAGCCTTTCTGTTCCTGAACAATGGTCTCTGTCCCAGATTAGGCTTTGCCTGGGGGAAGCACTTCCCACACCACAGGGGACTCCTCTTACAGTGAGGACAGCTATGCCAGGGTGTAAGAGGCTCACACACGAATCCTGAAGATGTCACTTTAGCTGTGTGACCCTGGGTGGATCACCTTAACCTCTTTGAGCCTCAGTTTGCCTCTGTGAAGTAGGGACTGTAATATCTTCCCGTCAGTACCATGTGGATAAATGAGATAACAAATGCACAGCAATGTCGAGCACACAGCAGAAATCAAGTAAGTGGAGGTTGAAAGGAAGGTTGGATAAATGAGTGGACACCAAACAAGGGTGCACGGCGCTCCGGGGCTCCCTGCTGAACTGCTCTCCCTTCTCTGCCTTTGAACCCCTAAGCTCTGTTTTCTAGTGTGGATCACATCATTCCACTTCTCAACCCACCTCCTCCCCCGCCCGCCTTCCCATCAACCTCTCTCCCCACAAACTCCCTCAGAAGGCCCACTGTGATGCCATCTCCTCTCCCTGTCTCTTTCCTCCCTCTCTTGCTCCCCTCTGGCCCCCCTTCCCTTCTTCTGTTCTTTGAACACATGCCTTTCCTTCAGCCCCAGGGCCTTTACACGGAACGCTTTCCCCTGAGGTCTTCACGTGCTCTGTTTTATTTCATCTCTCTGCTCAGATGCCACCCCCTAAGTGAGGACTTCTCTTCAGAGCTATCCTCCCCCTAGCCACCCCCGTACTTTTCTTCTAGTCCTTGGGAATTTCTGTTATACGTGTGTGAATTTTCTTGTTAAATATCTGCCTTCTCCTCTGGAATGGGAGCTCCATGACGGCAGGGGCTTTGTTCGACTTGTTCACCGCGAATCCCTGTGCCCCTGACATGCCGTAGGTGCTCAACAAATACTTGTGAAATGAATGTATACATATGATTCTGGCCCTTGAGGAACCTAAACAGAATTTCCCATCCCTAAATGACAATGCCACGCTCAGCTGCCCTCCTCTCCTTTCTCCTGTACAGCCCAGCTCATCACATTTTAATTTTTTCCCTAGCCTCAGCCAGCCTAATTACCCACAGCACCGGTGTGAACCCTGGTGTATGCGACGATAAGTGAGTGTGCCCAGGCTGATATATCCTGATGGTTTTCCAGCAGGGAACTGCGTCAGAACCTCCTGAGAGCCTCACTGCAAGCATTTGTGGCTGTCTTCTTTCCCCTATCCCCTGCTGAACAACAGTCTCCAGTGCTGAGGCTGGGCCACGTGGATTTGGAAAAAACTTCTCCTGGAGATTTGGATGCATGTTACTGTAGTTGTCTGCGGGGTGGCCATGGAGAGTAGAGGCTAGGAGCACTGCCTGCCAGGGTCACACTGGCTGAGTGTGAATCTGCACAAGCAACCTCACGTTGCTTGGAATACAGAATGGAGCCTAGCTCGGGAAGGTGTTATTAGGACACATCGAGAGAAAGTTTGTAAAGTGCTTAACACCGTGCCTCACTCATAGTAAGTGCATGGTCAATGTCAGCTTTCATTAAATGATGACTTTCCTCCAGGAGTGATGTAGTCATTCTCAGTTTCCCTACAGGAGTTAGGACAGGGCCTTTGCTGCGGTGGACGGTCAGCATGTGTAGTTAGCTGACATGCTGCTGAAACAAACATGCTATGACTTCTCCCATCTTAAAGAACAATCCTTTGTCTTGAACCCGCTTCGTCCCTTCAGCGGTCACCCCATTTCTTTGCTTCTCTTTATAGCAAAACTCATCAGAACTTTCTACAATTCCTCCCATTCTGGCATCTTTTACACATTTTATTAGGGAAATGTCAAACATATATTTTGCCAGTCTTCTACTTCCCAACTTTTTTGCTACAGTGTTATAAAGCAAGCCCCAGAAATATCATTTCACCCACAATGTATCCCTCTAATAGGTAAGAACTTTAAAAAGATATGAGTACCATAATCATACCTAACTAAATTAACAATTTTCTAACATCACCTAATACTTCATCTACGTTCAAATTCCCCGACTGTCTTAAAAATGTCTAGTTCCAATGGCTTTGTCTAAATCAAGCCGGATCAAAGGTCCACATGTTCTATTTGGTTGATTTGTCTCTAAAGTCTCTCCTCCCTTCTCTCTCAAACCCACTAATCAAGCCTCCAAATCCACTCCCAAGACTATGCTTTTCAAGGTCACCAATTACCTGAATGTTGCTAAAGCTAATGGACAGTTCTCAGTCTGCATCCTCCACGTTTCAGCAGCCTTTGAAACGCTCTTTGCCAGAACACTAGGTGCTTCTCCTGGCTGTTCTCCTCCCTCTGGGTGCTCCTTCTCAGCTCCCATGCCCACCTTTTAGTGTTGTGTGCATTGCAAATCTGCCCTAGGCCTCTTTCATCTTCTGTTCTCACTCCTTGGTGGCGTGGCCCAGTCTCAAGGCTTTAAAAGCATCCCAAAGTTATACCTCCAGCCCATTCCAAATGCCTACTGCACATCTCCTCTCAAACATCTAAGAGCTGTCTCAAACGCCATCCGTCAAATGCTCAAACCTCCTCATCCCCCATGGACTTCTCCATCCCATCCTTCTAATAACTTTGGCCCCAAACCTTGAGCTCATCCTCAACTCCTCTTTGTCTCACATCCCACACTGATCCCTCAGGAAGTACTGTTGTCTTGGCTGCAGATCATACTTTCATTGCTACTACCCTGGTCCAAGCTACTAGCATCTCTTACCTGGGCTGTGTAACAACCTTCTACCTGAACTCCCTGCTTCTGCCTTTCTTCCCTCTTCAGTCTATTCTCAAACCAGCATCCAAAGTTCCTTTTAAGCACCCTCTGCTCAAAGTCATCCACTGGTTCCTAGTTTTTCTGAAGGTAAAAGCCAAACACTTCCTAACGGACTCCAATGCCCTCAACAACAAGAAACAGGGGCATTTCTGGCAGGAAAATTCTTCACTGTGTGGTCTGTCCCACACACTGCAGGATGTTTGACATGGCCCTTACCCACTGCATGCCACAGAACAACAACCTTCCTCATCCAAGCCCCATCAGCATTTGTGACAACTAAAATGTGCCCACACATTCCAAATGCTCCCTGGTGGACCTGGAAATCCCAGTTGAGAATCTCTTACAAGATCTGCTACGCGCCTGCACCCTCCTACCCTCCCATGCCCCAACAATCTCTCTGACTTGGCCTCAGGCGCCTCTCCCTGTGCTCTCGGCCCTTGTCTTACTTGAACAACCTGGCAGGGTCCCACCCTTGGCCTCTATGCTAGCTGTTTGTCCTGCCAGGAATGCCCGTCCCCAGACAGCCACAGAACTCCCTCCCTCCCCTCCTCCAGGACTTTGCTCAGGTGCTGTCTCCCCAGGGCACCCAGTTTGAAAGTGCAGATTCCTTTATTCCGGGTCTCTTCTCTGCTTTTTCTCCAGGGCTCTTATCCCATCAGATGCACTATAAGTTTTCATTAGTGATCTTGTTTGTCTGTAAGCTTCATAAAGGAATTTGGGAGTTTTTTTGTTCACTGCTATACCCCAGGGCCTAGAATAGTAACTGGCACACAGCAGATAATAAATATTTGTTAAGTGAAAGGAAGAATACAGATGCCAGGAAAATATATACTTACAGAAAGAAGAAAACAAGCTTTTCTAAGCCACAAGAATAAAGAACTAATTTTGTTCTTAGCAAGGACTGGTGTGTGCTCAGCCTGGGGTGAAAAGTAAGGAGTGAGGCTATAAGAACATCTATTTATTTATCAGATCGGTTCAGGAAGGCTTCCTGAAACTGCTGGGGTTGTAGGACTCACCTTCAGCTGGTTTAGAGCCAGATGCTAACACCCTGATGGCTCCCCCAAACTTGATAACTGCTGACAACAAAGGGAGCCCCGGGGAGCAAAAGTGAACCAAGCTGGAGTTTTCAGACGGAGAAGCACTTGCCGAATCGTATTTCTGCTGCAACTGACCCATGTCTGCAGGAGGCTGCAGCAGCACGTCAGCCAGAGAGGCAAGTTCAAATGCAGCTGCTCAATCATACCTGCTTCCTCCCCTCTCTGGCCCTCAGAAAGCCCACCTTAAATAATTACTTGCCTTCCAAAACTCTCAGCAGACAGCAGAAAGGACCTAGCTTCACAGCCATACAGTGGAATATTTTGCGGCTATTAAAAAAGAACGCGGCAGCTCTTTTTATATTTAATAAGGAAAGATCACTAAGATACATTATTAGGGAACAAAACTCAAGGTGCAGAACAGCATATAGGATACTAGTATCTCTGTAAAAAGAAATAAACATTTTGCTTAAATGTACATATAGCTGGAAAGACGTGAGAAATAATAGTGGTTGCTGGAAGGTGTGGGGGCGGGCAGGAATTCGAGTGGTTAGGAAACAAGGATGGGGGCGATGCTTTTCACTGTAAACTCTTTTCTTTTGAATCTTGTACTAGGTCAATGTATTGTCTATTTGAAAAGAGTAAATCAAGCTACTCTGGAGGCTGAATTGGGAAGATTGCTTGAGGCCAGGAGTTCGAGACCAGCCTGGGCAACATAGGGAGGCCTCCGTCTCTACAAAAACAAAGAAAATTAGTCAGGTGTCGTGATGCATGCCTGTAGTCCTAGCTACCTGGGAGGCTGAGGTGGGAGGATCACTTGAGCGCAGGAGTTCGAGGCTGCAGAGAGCAATGATTGTGCCACTGTACTCCAGCCTGGGTGACAGAGTCACCATCTCTTAAAGAAAGGAAAAGGTGAATTACATTAAAAGCAAATTACATTAGCAATTTTGTGTGTATGTTAAAAGCCACCTGTACAAGTACAGGTGGCCAGAAGCCAGAGTCCTTCAAGTGAAAGAGCCCTGAGGCTTTAGCTGACCTCATGTGTGATAGGTCCCATCTGTGGCTGGGGCTGAGAAAGCCAGTGGGTCCCTAGCCACCATCCAAAGCTAGGCGGGGGGTGAGGGAGGGCCTCCCTGTGCCCAAAGCTGGTCTGGCCACAGCCCCTGCGCTGCAGGGCTCACTCCCAGCTCCCTCTGTGTTCTCGGAGAGCAGTAACCCAGGTGAGGCAGGGCCACCCGCAGAACCATGAGGAGCAGGAAGTGCCAGGATCAGGTATGTTCTCCTGAAAGTAGATGGCGGAGGGGTGTCAGTGGACTGGAAGGCAAGGGAAGGGAAGGATGGCTATCTGCCTTCAAATATTTGAAAGGGTGTGAAGTCAAACAGGGAAGGAGTCCTGTTCAGAGCCCCTTAGAAGATGCCGGGGTCAGGGTGGGGGGTGGTGAGGCCTCTCACCTTCAAAGAGCACCTTCTGCCACTGGAAGGGTCCCAAAGTGACAGCAACCACCCCGCGTCGAGCCCTCACTGCGTGCCAGGCACTCGGCTTGCCTGACGCTTTACTGGCATCACCCCTGAATTTTCCCAGCAATCCCAGGAGGGTGGTACCATTCGTATTCCTTATTTTACGAACGGGAAACGCGAGGCTCTCATTGCTTGAGATCACACAGCTAGTGAACGACTGAGTCGAGATTCAAACCCAGGGCCCTGCTCAGAACTATTATGCCGCACCGTAGGCTGAGGAGACCTACAGCCCTGGGAATTCTAAGACTGTGATGCGATAAAACACAAACATAAACATGAGAAGGCCAAGATAAGGCTGGGAGTTTTAAATTTATTTTTTTTTTTTGCTGAGGTGTCTTGGGTACAAGGAAGACAGGAAAGGTGGATGCTGAGTAGAATTTGTACCTCGGTGTCACCGTCCTCATCCCCGACCCCTCCTAGCCGCCCCCGCCTCAATGTCCCCTTCTTCTCCAAGGCAATCTACTCGCACCATCACACTAGCCCCGGCTGCGGCCCGTGGAGGCCGAGGAGGGGCGCGCACCCAGCACCCAGCACCCGGCCCGAAGGCCGCGGCCCCGATGCTCCCCGGGCTGGCGGCGGGCGGTGCCGCAGCGCCGAAGCCCCTTCCGAGCCCCCTCGGGCCGGGAACGCGGGAGGAGGCGGCGCCCTGCGCCGGGAGGCCCCAGACACCGTGGGCGGGCGGCTGTGCGCGGGGGTTGGGGCGCGGGGAGGCGGGGGCGCCCGGGCCGCGCTTCCCTTCGCGGGTGACTCAGCAGCCGCCTTCCTCAGCGGGGCGGCGGGGGCGCGCGGAGGCTGTGGGCACGCGGCTTCCCCGCGCCGGGGTGCAGGTCCTCGCCGCCGCCCCCGCGAGGAAGTGCGAGGCTGGACGCTGGGAGGGGGCGCGTGGGCCGGGAGATTCCTTCTCGCCTGCCGGCTGCCAGCCGGCCCGCCCACGCCGCCGAGATCCCGACTCCACGTTCCCTCCCCACGTAGGAGTCGGGGCAGCGCACGGAGGCGGAAAGGCTTTCCCCAGGCTGGCCCGGCGAGGGTCGGGGGCGCAGGGACTGAGGGGACACCCCAGGGGGGCCAGCTGCACCCCCGCCCTCCCCTCCTGCTGCTCCCGGGTTTTACGCACTCACGGTCGGAGGGAGCCGGCTGGAGATTTCTGGGGTCTTAGATGTGGAAGTCCGTGCAGAATTTACCTCGTTCTGCCCCAGGGCCCCCGGGTACCTGCCACCTTTTGTTCTTGAAAGGGAGAGATGCCCCTCTGCTGAGCCAGCTGGAGCGTCCTTTCTGTGGCTCTTGCCGTGTAGAAGTCTTTTTTCGTATCTAAGCTCGGTCCCTCCTGCTGCGGTGACCCCCAGACAGCTCTGCTTCGCCAGACTCGGCGACTGGGTAGAGTGGGCAAGAAGGAGGACCAAGAACGTCCCCACTGAGCAGGAGGGGAAATCAAGGCCCAGAGAAGGGGAGGGGCTTCCTTCAAGCTTATAGCTGGGGGTGTGTGAGAGAGGTGCTGACCTCAGTACTCAGGAGTTCCGGCTTCTAGGTCAGAGTCCAGCTGCTTGAAAAGATAATATTCCTCCCTGGTGCTGCCCAGCGCAGTGCCTCTACCTGTCTCTGGAAATCCCTTTGGCCTTCTCTGATGGGTTCTTACCATGCGTTAAGTCGCATCAAGACTGTCGGAGATGCCAGATGATGCCGGTTCGGAAGCATCCAGGGTAAAGACCGGGCTGTGCGCGGGAAACACGGAGGCTAGACCCAAGCAGGAAATTCCCACCCGCTTTGCAGAGTTTTTGTAGCTGCTGTTTTTAAATAATCATTGGTTGATTTGATGCATTGAATGAAAATTGTGGTAGATAGGAATCATTCATCAAGGAAGAAATTGTGGAACTCCCTTGTCTCTCTGCCTGGGATGGGGCGTGCATTCCTGATTGGAGGCAGGTGGTTGGCTGGTTTGACCTGGTGCATCCAAAGCCCTGAGAGGTCATTGGTACCAGGCCCTGGCCACAGCTAGGCCGAGATATCCTGCAGGGAAAATCACACTACAGCTTTGTGTGTGTCTGGCCGCCCCGTACCTGAGCTTCCAGACACTATACCTCCGTAGAGTTCAGTGGCACAGCTCCTGTACCTGTCCCCTTCCACACAGCCTTCTTCCCAGGAGCTCACGCCTCTGGGGCCTGGTCTCCCGCATGCTCCAGACAGAGTGGGTATGGAGGCGTGGTAGATTTGCCCCATTTTACAGAGGGGAAGAACCAGGAGGATCTGGCTAGCCAATGGAGATGAAACACTTCATGCAGAGAAAGGAAAAGGAACTGGGAGTGCTGATGGCGTGACCAGGCCAGGGGTCATTGGGAGATACTGAGATAAAGCTATGCTGATCTTTGCTGTGAAGCCTATGCATCTTTAGTATAGTGTGGGTTGTCCTCCAACTCCCCCAGCCCAAGTCAGTAACACACAGTTGCCCACGCAGTCGTGCCCACTCAGGTCCACAAACGCCTGCGCACCACCTGCTCACCGTCCCGTCACGGTATTGACACTTCCCTGAACACAGCTGATCCTGCCTGGTAAGGGGCCTGGAATCTGGGTGCTGCTGGTTCATGACCCCGGAATCCAGCTCTTTCCTCTCTTTTCCCCCAGAGATACGGCCACAATGCCAGCCTCCTTTCCCTCCTGCCTTCATAGGCCCATTGCCCGTTTCTCACTCCACCTGCTGAGGCCTTGTGTGTGTGTGTGTGTGTGTGTGTGTGTGTGTGTGTGTGTGTGTGATGAAACTCTCACTGCAGAGATTTGTTCTTAATGCAGCTTCCTGGGCTGACAGAGTGGTCAGAGGCTGGGGGCAGAGGGAGTAGAGGGCTCTCCCTGCTCATAGCTAGGATTGGGGTCGGTTCTGTTTATTGCCGGGGGCAGTCTTCTCCTCACCCCTCATCCGTCTCACACCCCAACCAGCCTGAAGAACTGAACCTCTGAGAGCAGCTTTCCGCATGGGCTCAGCTTCAGGACAGTGAGCTGTGCTGTTGGACCCAGGGGTCCTCCCTTCTGCCCAACTCTTCCTCAGCCCTGATACCACAACCCACCTCCACTCAACAATCCATGAGCCTGCCTGGGCCCTACAGACGGAGAGTTTATGTATTCAACCAGTATTTATCATGCACCTTCTAGGTGTTGAGTTTGACTCTCATCTCCCATCCCCTTCAGGCTCGTGCGACACCAACCTCTGCTGCCTGCCAGCTCTTCCTGCCCACATCTTCCTGCCCCATAGCAAACCCCAACAGAGTCATGTGACATTTCACCATCCAAAAAATTATTTTAAGATCCTAGAAAGGAGCAAACAAGCTTATCACACATCATGATGCTCTTTAACTTCTTGCTTTATGTCTTCCACACATGAAGTTCGTTGGAAAAGTATCCCTTCTACAGCCCAAAGACTTACTATTCCATGACCAGTCAGTGGAAGTGCCCTGTGTCCCTCCCCTTTCCTTACCAGAGCCAAACAAGGCAATTCCAATTCTCTGCAAAATTTAGTTGAGCTAAAAATACATTTAGACTGATCTGCCTCCCTCATGAGCCCTTCAGCTCCTTAGCAGCCTCCTTCCCTGGCCTTTAGTTAACCACTGCTACCCCAGTATCCTCCCTTCTTACCAAACCCTTCTCTGGGAGATTGCTCAAATAAACTCTTTCACACTAAAGTATAAAAGACTAATAAGAATAAATGTGTTGATTTGTCCCCCTTCCTAGGAGAATTTGCATTTAAACAAGGAGGATAACCTTGAAGTACCTAAAGTCGTCTCTGACTGTGGAATTATTAACATAGTTGAGATATCCTGGAAGGCACGGGGACCTCCCTGGGGTTATGGGACTAGCTGTAAGTTTGGCCTTGCACACCTGTGAAGCAGCCCTGATGGGCTCTTTTGGTCCATCGTCACATAATGTTGAGAGCAGTGGATGAAGAGTTAAGAGAATCTGAGCTCTAAACCTAGTTCTGACACTAGCTAGTTTGGAAGCAACAGTCACTTCCTCCTCAGGCCTTAGTTTTCTCATTTGCCAAATGAGAATCTTGAACAGGTTACCTTAAAGAATCCTTCTAGCTCTGATATCTGGTTAACTCCCCAATGGGGCTAGGAGACCCTGGCCCAGCTCCTAAAAGCCTCTAGCCCCTGAAGCTGTGGCTTAGAGGGAATGGTCTGATGCCAGCACAGAGCACGGGGCCCTTCTCTGGGCAGGGACTTGGACAGGCTGCCCGCATGACCATAGCAGCCCACCTGCCAGGGAGGAAAGGTGCCGCTCAGCACGCACACCAGTCTTGAAGAGTTACATAACCCTCCCAGATCCCTTATTCCAACCAAAGAGCAACAGCAAAACAGTCTGCCCTCCACCCCCACCCGGGCACACACACACATCAGCAGTCTTTGCCTATGGTGGCCTCACAGTCACAAACACCCTGGGAGAGAATTTTAGAAGGCCACCATCTTTTCTTTTTCATTTGTTTTCATTTTCCTGGAAGATATCTCATGTAAGAAAAGTCTTTAAGAGAAGAAAACCCACAACCACACATCAGGCCTCTTAGTCCCTCCCTGCTGTTCTTTTCAGCTTTCTGACCTCAGAGTTCTGAAAAGTACAGGTCTACCTTCCATCCCTAGGAAGGAGGAACTTGGAGAAATTGATTCAGCCTCATTCTGAAGAAGTGGGAAGCACTTCCTGGGTTCAGATGCCATTTCCCTCACTCTCCACTTTTGTCCTTGACAAGTCAGTGTACCTTCTCCTAGATGAGACTGTAATTTTCCTAATTAGGAAATAGGGGTGATTGTTCTCACCATGGGGCATCGGGTGATAACTCAGATCTCTTTGATATCCTTAAGAGAAGTGCAAATAATCTTAAAATTCAACAGAAGAGGTTTTAGTTGGGCTTAAAGAAGCCTTTGCCAACTAGAAATTTGTGAGACAGCATTACAGATCACAGAGGGATGGTGGATTTGTGCTGCTGGTTGCTTTTCAGGGTATGCTCAACATTCCTGTGTCTGGAATGGCTAAATGAGAATAGAGCACATGTAGAAAGGTGGCCTGGCAGTGTAGAAGAAACCCTGAGCCTGCATTCTAGTCTGTCACTGTCATCTGACAACAGGTGAACCTTTTATCTTTCTTGGGCCCTGGTTTCTTTTTCTTTTTCTTTTTCTTTTTTTTTGGGGTCATGGAGTCTCGCTCTGTGGCCCAGACTGGAGTGCAGTGGCGCAATCTCAGCTCACTGCAACCTCAGCCTCCTAGATTCAAGTGATTCTCCTGCCTCAGCCTCCCGAGTAGCTGGGACTACTATGGACCACCATCCCTGGCTAATTTTGTATTTTTAGTAGAGACAGGGTTTCACCATGTTGGCCAGGCTGGTCTCAAACTCCTGACCTCAGCTGATCTGCCATCTTGGTTTCTTTATCTGTAGAAATACTGCAATGTATTGAGCACTTACTATGTACCCCAAACAGTACTAAATAAATGATATGTAATTTTTACAACTTTACGACAAGTCTTTAAGGTAGATATTTTCCCCATTTTATAAGTGGAAAAACAGAGGCTAAAAGAAAGTAAACAGTGAAGGCGACGTCTCACAGCTGGGGAGGTACCAAGATTTCTCCCCAGGCGTGCTTGCCCAAAGCCCATGTTCTCAACCATCTGGATCTTGAACACTGTGTGATCCAGTGGTTACCTGAAATTCCTTTCAGCCTGAAAGATTTAGCTTTGCCCTTGCCTTACTCCTGATTCCCTTTTTTATTTATTTATTTATTTATTTATTTATTTATTTATTTATTTATTTATATTTTAGGCAGAGTGTCGCTCTGTCACCCAGGCTGGAGTACAGTGGCACGATCTCAGCTCACTGCAAGCTCTGCCTCCTGGGTTCACGCCATTCTCCTGCCTCAGCCTCCCGAGTACCTGGGACTACAGGCGCCCGCCACCATGAGCAGCTAATTTTTTTGCATTTTTTAGTTGAGACGGGTTTTTACCATGTTAGCTAGGATGGTCTCGATCTCCTGACCTTGTGATCTGCCCGCCTCAGCCTCCCAAAGTGCTGGGATGACAGGCGTGAGCCACCACGCCTGGCCCTGATTCCCTTTCTTTTTGTTAATGCCCTCATTGACTGAAATAAAGATGACCACCCCTTTCTTCCATGGAAATAAGCAGCCCTTTGGAGCCTCTGTGGGAACCTGCACTTTGTGCTTTTCCAGAAGCAGAGGAGCAAGTTGCTACAGTGGTCCCAGCCTTGGAAACCCTGCCAGATGGCCTCACCTCTGAGAGTCTGCTGGGTGCAGTGAGAGTGTCCCCAGGGCCTCTTACTAAGAACTCCTTACTAAGCTGCCATTGCCCTGTGCCCAGGGCCACTGAGATATGCTTAGGCTCCAGTGAAAAAAAATGTTCAGGCTTCCCAACAAGGCAGCTTGTCCAAAAATCTTTACATGGGGTGTAAATTCAGCAGTTGAGTCTCTTTCCAGATTGTGAGCCCTGATGTTTGTCCCAGCCCTTCCCTCTTTTTTAATGTTACCCTCCCTTCCATTCCTTCTCCACCCAGCCCCGACCCCAGCTGCCTTTTCTCGTAAGTGACCTTTGAAACTCGGGCTGCGCAGAGATTTGCTGAATCAGCAGGACCAACTGTTGTTTCCTTTGCTTGGTTTTGGGCCAGCAGGAAAATGTGCCAGGATGCCTTTGTGAGGCCCTATGGCATTCACTGCATTGGTCTGGGGAGAGATTGGGAGTGAGGAAAGAGGGAGCTGGAGGCTGGTAAGGAGGAGTGAGACAATCAGGGTTTCCCAGAGACCATGGGATGACTTGGTTCTCTTAAATGCATTATTTTTGGATGAAAAGAAAGGAAGAGCAGTGGCCTAGGCCTTCAGGAAGGCAAAGGGCAGCAAATCTTTGCAAGTGGTCACACTATGCCAGCTTCTAGCTATGAATAAAAAGACGCACACTCCCTTCTCCCAGTGAGCCTTCATCCTGGCCCCATTTCTTAGACTAGAAACTCTCTCCCTGCTGGGGATAGGGGAAGAACAAGAGGATAGGCAGATTGATGAGCATGGGCCATACGATGCCACCTCAGCAACCAGGCCTTCTGGGCACAAGGTAGACAAAGTCCCTGTGTGTTGAGACTGTCCTCACCTAGTGATAGGGTTTGGCCTCATGGGTAGGGACTTAGGATGAGCAGAGGGCTGTATCATCAGAGGCTGGAATGAAATGGACATGCAAAACAGGTATCTCCATAGATTGAATTTTCTGCTTTCTGTTCCCTTTCCAGCTATCCTTGCCTCTTACAATTCTGACATAAACCTTTGACTTCAGTGAAGAAAACCTGCTCTTTGGCTGTTAACATAATTTGTATACTCACCCTTTTTACCTTGTGCTGTTCTGATAGAGGATTGCTTTAGGCAGCTGCAATATACTTACACTTGTTTAGGCATTTCTAGATATGTGTCTCTTTTATTTTGAGCAAGGACCATTTGCTTCTTTCCAATCTTTCCACAGCACTGAGTGCAGGGTTTTGAATAGACTGGACACTTGATACATATAGTTGACTGACAGACCTTCACACTTTCTTTCTTAATAGTTTCCAGGATGGGCCAGTCATGAGCTATCACCTTCAAGCATGCAACTCTGACTCAATAGGAGCAGAGATCCCAGTTCCCATCAGCATCTTAGACAAATCAGGATAAAAAGCACATCCAGAACTCTTCTAGCTATCCCCAGCCTCCAGCCAGAATGAGAAGAGGGAGCTCAAAAGATACTCAAGATTGATTTTGTGTTTAAAGGATAAGGGTAGAGAAGAAAGAGATTTCCCTGTGTAGCTTATGTGGAAGAAGGATAGAAGGAAGAGAAGATGGGAGAGATAAAGTGTTTGGGGGAGAGGTAGAAGGGGAGAAGAGAATGAAGGAAAAAGGGTAGTGAGGCAGAGGAGGGATGTGAAAGGAAGAAGCAATGTAACAGAGAGAAGACAGGAGCTGTGGAGCCCTTCAGACTTCATAGTCATATTGAGGTTGGGATTTGGAGTAGGAGATGAATTTGAATGGGGATGCAAGAATTTATCCTCCAGCAATCATCTGCCTGTGGCCTTGGAGACATGGACAAGCCCTGTCATCCATGGACACTAAACGCATGACTGGTGGTTGGGCAAATGTGCTTAGAAGCCACTGAAGCCAGCCACTTCAGATAAGTTCATGTGCTTCCATGGCAAGAGGATTTGTCAGGTCAAGTTGAGGTTCTGGCACCAGCCAGGAAAGGGATAGTAATAAATTCTGTAGATGCCGTGAGCCTTGATTGAAAAAATAAGGAGGAGGAAGCTATGTTTGCTGCTTTCATTAAGAGGCAAAAGCAGTGGGGGTCAGAGCTTAGCAAGAATCAAGAAGCATGCAGAGAAATAATTTTAACCCTTCAAATGTTTTTCTTCCATAATATCTCTGCATTCACTCACCCACATATTGCTGCTTTCTTGGACTGACCTCCAAGACCACCACCTTTGTGTCTCCCTCAGCTGAAGGAGGGAGAGAGGCCAGATTATGTATTAATGCAGATAAGATGGCAATTAAATGATTCATTATTTTCCAGTCCCAGTTATCTAGGGCTTCTGCCTCTCCTGGAATTGGGTAGGAAGAGGAGTTCTGGGGATAAAAGTCAAACTGTGTGAGGACATAATGCATCTACCAGAGTGCCTGGCCTCTGGAAACCCTCACCCACTCTTCAGCCACCTCAGTGGGGTCGCGTTCTTGCTGAAAGGAGGCCAGAGGAAGAATGAGGGAGGATTCACAGGAAACCCATGATTGGAAGACCCACTGTGCCATCTCTTCCTCCCGCTTCAGCACTCCCAGTAGAGAACCAGTTCTGCGGGGAGCTCCCCAGGAGCAATACCAGGGAGGGGGCTGCTGGCTCTGCTCTCCTCCTCCTCACCTCTCCCTCTCCATGGAGATCTCTGTCTGCCTGCTGGCTCCATCTTGTCCTGCATCATAGACAACTATGGGCAGAGGAGAACAAACATACAAAACGGGCCACGGGCAGAGAGCAGGGTAGGACGAAACATGTCATTAGCAATGGTGATTCCGTCCTGAGCTCTGTGGGGAAATTGGTGTTGAAGTTGGGCCACTGTGGGGAAAGAAATGAGTGGTCCAGAAGATATTCAACCAGCCAAGATTACCATGTTTTCACATCCAAGGAAGGAGAGCTGCAGGGATGAGGGGAGGCAGGCACATCTATGGTCTCTATGTTTCTGAGTGTGCAGGATTGGGGAGCAGGAGAAAAAGCTGGAGAATCTGGAGAAAGTAAGGCATTACTGTTAAGTGCCTGGGGCAACTTTCTAAGTGAAAGATTCCAATAACTTCCACTCTGCTCCACCATGCTAATTATTTTTTATTTTTGTTCTGCTCCTTTGGGAAGCAAAAGCAGGACAGGTGAGAAGGAAAGGTGAGGATATTATAACTCCTCTCCAGAATTGACATGTGGAGCTGGACAGGAGCCCAGATGATTCCTAAATCCCAGGATTCCGAGCAGGACCAACTGAGTGAAAGGGTTTGGGTTCCGTAGGCCACTCTGAAGGCTATGGCTATGTCTTTGTCTAAGAAAAATAATCTTTCCTCAACTCTTCTTGGCCACACAGTGCCCTGAAGAGATGCAAAGAAAGTGGAGTTGCAGTGGGAGAGACAGGAGACACCAAAAGTCATGAGGAGAGAAATCATAATGACCAGGTAGCTGTGGCTGCCCTCAGGGAAGGGGACTGGAAAAATTCATCCCCTCATGTGGGGGAAAAGACCACTTAGTATCTTGGAACAATGTTGCCTTTTGCTGAGCCTTGGGCATTGAGGGAAAACTGACTTTCTGCTTTTTATGCCAGATAAGGAAAAAATAAAAATAAAAATGTGAAACTGAGGGAAGTACAAAGGGGTTTTGAGGGAGTTGGGGTAGAAAACTGTATCTTCTTGGGACTTGAATCAAATGTTTTAAGTCTGCCAAGCCAGATCATGTTAGACCTTCACCTCTTAGATCCTGTGGTTTTGATCAACGTGCTCTGTGAGCTACCCTGCCCTAACCCAACTTCTCTAACTCTACCACAGATGGTAAAAGAAAATGAGTTTTGAAGGAATACAGCAAATATTCACAAGTATCTCCCAGACTTAATGCACCTGGATGAAGATGAGATTCTCAGCTCTACTTCCCCCTCCCCATTCCCTTATGCATCACCATTGTCAAGGTCAGGTGCTGACCAGGGACAATTTCCCTTGAACTGTTCTTTGTTTAGTTCTCCATCACTTGCCTAATCAGAGAAAAGAAGCAGACATGGCCACAGCCTTTCCAGTACAGAGGAGAGAACATCCCAGACACTTTCATATCTTCTTCCCATATTCCTAGTTCATGGACCTCCTGAGTGAAGAAAGAGCTTGAAGTTCTAGGAACTGAGAGGTTAACATTTCTCTCAGGACCCAAGGCAAGATTTCAGTGATCACCAGATAACCGGGAAAAAAGGGTTTGCAGTTGCTGGCCTTAACAGGGAGATTTAAACAGGCATGGCATCTGAATACCAACTCCATCTGCCAACTGTCCCCCATGTCATTGCTCCCTTTCAACAACGGCCAAACACCCTGTATGAAAAACCCTCCTTGAGTTGGAGGAAAAAGCTGTAACCAGACTGAGTCCTCAAGCCATGCCTGAGTCCTCCATTGGTTTGATGGGATGTTCCCTTGCACCTCTTCGGCTCTGCGGGAATTCAGAGGAAGGGTGTCCAATCAGGTCAGAGAAGAGAAAGCTTCCCTAAATGAGCCACTCCTAGCTGTGGCTCCCACTTCACCAGCTAAAGAGCCACATTTTCTCTTCCTCTGCCTCCAGCTCCCTTGGTTTCCCACATCACTCCTGCTTTTCAGGTTTGTCCCCGGCCTCCTGGATTCCCCTCTACCCCAGTCCTACTCTTCCTGGGCCCCAGCCTTTTTAAAGCTCTTCACATGCCTCTTTCCAAGCCTTCAGCTTTTCTCACATCTCAGTCTCCATGCAAATACTTTTACTACCCAAACTTCCTTCCAAATTTTTTCTCACTTAAAAAGATTCCTTCAATGGTTCTCTTTTCTACAGTTTAATCTTCACTCGAACTTCAACCCAGCCTAACCCCGTTTAAATGCTGTCAGTTCCCAGTATCACCAATCGCTTAACACCCACCTCCTTCCTCCTTTGCTCCTACTAATGGTCTGGTTACTCCTTTTTGCTCCAGCATTCCCCAAAACCTTCTCAAGCAGGGATATCGTTCCCTCATTTACCCAAAATCTCCTTTGCACACTTCTGGCGCCTTCAGGCCACATCACTCCGGTCCTTTAGACTCCTACGCACCCAACGTCCCCGTCTCTCCCTCACACCCACTTGCTTCCCTTGCTCCCACCACAACAGTGCCCATCTCCTCTCCCCGCTCACTCAGGTCTCCTGCTCAGGACGCCCTTGCCGAGGGCGGAGGGGGATTTGTGCTGAAGGAGGGCTCCGGCAGCAGCGCAGCAACTCGGGGGACGCTCCTTCTCCTTGTCAGTCACGGCCCCTTGTGTCCCCAGATGCTTGTGGGGCGACTGGGGTGTGTGAGCCCTGCTGCCAGGGCCCCGCTGGGGCTGCTCCAGGAGCTGTCCGTGGTGCTGACGCGGCGGCCGATCGGGCGCGGGATGCGGCGCGGCTGCTGAGCGCTGTCCCTGGTCCTGGAGAGGTTCCTGGGCCCTGGCGGCGGCGGCAGGAGCGGTGGCCGGAGCGGCCGGCAGCGGGGCCGATGACGGGGGGACGAGCCCGGGCGGAGGCTGGGCTTGCAGCAGCTGCTGGTGCTCCCACAGGCTGCGGTTCTCAGCGCTCAGCTCGTCCAGCCGCCGCTCCAGCTCGTCGATACGCTCTCGCTGGGTGTGGATGAGGCTCTGCTGGTTCTGCACGATGGCCGTGAGCTCCTTGAGGTAGAGCACGGCGCGCACCGGATTCTCCAGCAGGCTCTCCATGCCGCCCGCCGCCGCCTGCGCCCTGCCTGCGCCTGGGCTGGCGGCGGGGAGCGCGAGGGCGCGGGAGCCCAGCAGCCCAGCGGTCGGCTCGCCTCCCTCTCCCACCGGCCCAGCCTCCCTCCCCCCGCCGGCGCCGCGTCACTGCCACCCCGACCTTCACACACGCATCGCGGGGCGGGGCGGCTGCGCAAGGCCCCACCCCCACCCCACCCCCTACCTCCAGACCTCCCCAACTCCTCGCCTCCCCACCTCGCTGCCTCTTGGCGTCAGCGAAGGCTCTGCTGCCTGCAGGGCAGAGAGGAGAGGGAGGAGGCCAGCGAGAGGGAGCCTCTGTCGGGGCGTGGGAGGAAAGCAAGATAACGCAGGCGACCCGAGAAGGACGGTGAATCTGACTGGCCAGACTGGGAAGTAGGCGAAGGGGAAGCAGCGATACTGGGAAGGTGCGGTGGGACCTGTAGGAGAAGAGAAACAGAAAAGAAAGGAAGAGAAGGGGAGAGGCCAGCAGAGAGGAAGCAGAAAAAGGGAAGGTGGGGCCAAGAAAGAGAAATGTGCTGGAGGACAGGAAGGCGTGGGGCCCTGAAGGGACGCGAATTCTTTTTTCCCAGGTCCAGGCCTTCCAGAGGCTGGGGTTCATCTAGAGACCTGCTGAGGAGGGGCCACACTCGCCTCTTTTGCTCGCAGCAATCTATTCTGCCAGGGGATTCCCTGGAACACAAGAATCCTGGGGCTCTAAGGGACCCTAAAGAGCGTCTGGTCCTGCTCCTTCCTTCATCCGTGACGAAACTTGGGATGGGAAGGCTGTTCATGCTGGGTTTCCTCTGGGAGTGAGACCTCAAGACAACTGTGGCAGTTCCTGATAGAAACACTAAATAAACGAGGTCCTCTGTGGCAAGGGCTAACGCTTCCAGAAGCTTCTGAATAGATCATTCTATTTGACAAACAGTTATAAAATGCACACTATTACCAAACACTGTGCTAGATGGTGGTAAGAGAAGCATGACTAGAATGGAATGTTAGGCTTTTTGAAGCTTATAAATAAGTGGGTGAAATTGGTCATGATTAACTTTGACGTATGATAGTGGTGGTGAGTAATCAGGCAGAGGTTTGCCCAGAGTGCTATAGGAGCCAGCAGCTTGGAGATCCAGGGAGGCTTCTTACAGGAAGTGACCCTTGGTGTGGGAAGGGTTTTCCATAAAGGGAAGACAGCATGAGCAAAAGCTCAGAGACATTAATCAGCACCGATTGAATCATTCATTCATGTCTACAATAATCACCACTCACTAGGTGCAAAGTAATGTACAGAATCTATGCAAGCCACATCTAGCATAGATAATAAGTTATCATTTCTATAATCAAGTTGATTCCAATCTCATAGAGTAGATATGCCATGCACATGAATAAGTAAAACACAACTCAAGATTTCTGTAAGAGCTCTTCAAGCCAAGTGCCATAGAGTTCAGGGGAGGGAGAGGATTCATTTGACTGTGTTGATCTGATAAGTTCTGACAGAGGTGTTACTCAAGTTGGGCCACGAAGAATGGGAAATATTTCAACAGGTAGACAGAACAGGGGGCCAGATATGAGAAAGATACATCAGGCAGCAGGGAAAAAACTAATGAATGGAAATAGAGCACTTGGTTTAAATTAATTTGGCAGGGAAATATCCCTTTCCTTTTCTTTTCCTTTACTTTTTTTTTTTTTTAAAGTCTTGTCTGTCACCGAGGCTGGAGTGCAGTGGCAGGATCATAGCTTACTCCATCCTTGACCTCCTGGGATCAAGGAATCCTCTAGCCTCAGCTTCCTGAGTAGGTGGGACTACAGATGCATACCACCATGCCCCGTGAAGGAAATGAGTTGTTCTTTCCTCTTTTATAGGAATGGGATGGGAAGGAGGAAGGGCTATGAGTACGCTTCGCATGTTTGTTATTGTGTTGTTCCGTTCTTCACACACATGTCCATCAGGCTCCCTGTCAACCTTCCATTCCCCCAGGGTAGGCATATTTATGGGTACCATGTGCCCAGTGAGCTGGCCCACCCCCCACCACCACGTGGTGCCAGACTTGAATGACCTTATGAGAAGGAACTTGTGCTCTGCACATATATTGGTTTATCTGCATTCCTGATGTGTTTTTATTTTGCTTTTCTCCCATTTATCTTCCTAGCAAACTTTCTTTGGTAAAGAATGAATAAAGGAAGCTTATCCACAGCTGAGCTCACGGTTAGGGGAAACAGCACACAGGAGGATGCTTTGGTAGTGACCAGCATTCCAGCTAAAGAATGGAGGTTGGGGGATGAAACAAGGGCACACAAAAACTCAAACTCTTTTTTCTGAATTTTCTTTGTTTGCCTAGTTGATTTGCTGTCCAAGAATTGGGTGCTTGGACAGCAAATTAGAGACGAATACGATAAGTGAAACAGCCTGCAGCATAATTATCCATGCGGATTGTTGAAAATGCAGATTTCTGAGCCCTATATTGTAGCAGGACAAGCCGCAGACAAAATTCCTCAGACACCGAGTTAAAGAAGGAAGGGGTTTATTTGGCTGGGGGCATCGGCAAGACTCCTGTCTCAAGAGCTGAGCTCCCCGAGTGAGCAATTTCTGTCCTTTTTAAGGGTTCACAACTCTAAGGGGGTGCGCGTGAGAGGGTCGTGGTCGATTAAGCAAGCAGGGGGTACGTGACTGGGGGCTGCATGCACCGGTAATTAGATCGGAACACAACAGGATAGGGATTTTTCACAGTGCTTTTCTATACAATGTCTGTAATCTATAGATAACATAACCGATTAGGTCAGGGGTCGATCTTTAACTACCAGGCCCAGGGTGTGGCGCCGGGCTGTCTGCTTGTGGATTTCATTTCTGCCTTTTAGTTTTTAGTTTTTCTTTCTTTGGAGGCAGAAAATGGGCATAAGGCAATATGAGGGGTGGTCTCCTCCCATAATACCAGTCCTGCTGTATTGGAATCACTAGGAATGGGGACCAAGAATTTTTATTTTAAAAACTTTTTTCATTAAAAAAATCAACTTTGTTGACTTATAATTTATATCCAATGATATGCTCCCATTTTATGTGCACAGTTCAATGAATTTTGACAAATGTTCATGCCCTATTTTAGTCAGTTCCTCTCATCCTCAGCTCCAGTTAACCACTGACTTGCTGTCTGCCAGTATATGTTAGTTTTGTCTGTTGTGGAATTTCACATAAAAATCATACAGTATACACTACTTCGTGTCTTTCTTTTTAAATTTTTTATTATTTTAAAAATTACTATGATGATTTTTGTTTTAATAGTTTCTGGGGAACATGTGGTGTTTGGTTACATAGATAAGTTCTTTTGTGGTGATTTCTGAGATTTTGGAGCACCCATCACCTGAGCAGTGTACACCGTACCTAATGTGTAGTCTTTTATCTCTTACCCCACTCCCACCCTTCTCCCAAGTCCCCAGAGTCCATTGCATCATCCTTAAGCCTTTGAGTCCTCATAGCTTAGTTCCCACTTACACATGAGAACATATGATATTTGGTTTTCCATTCCTGAGTTACTTCACTTGGAATAATGATCTCCAACTCCATCCAGGTTGCTGCCAATGCCATTATTTCATTCCTTTTTAAATCCACTCATTGATTGATGGGCATTTGGGCTGGTTTCATATTTTTGCAATTGTGAATTGTGCTGCTATAAACATATGTGTGCAAGTGTCTTTTTTTCATATAATGCTTTCTTTTCCTCTGGATAAATACCCAGTAGTGGGATTGCTGGATCAAATGGTAGATCTACGTTTAGTTCTTTAAGGAATCTCCATACTGTTTTCCATAGTGGTCGTACTAGTTTACATTCCCACCAGCAGTGTAAAAGTGTTTCCTTTTCACCAAATTCATGCCAATATCTATTATTTTTTGATTTTTAAATTATGGCCATTCTTGCAGGAGTTAGGTGGTATCACATTGTGTGGTGTTTTTTGTTGTTGTTGTTTGTTTTGTTTGTTTGTTTTTGAGATAAAGTCTTGTTCTGTCACCCAGGCTGGAGTGCAGTGGCTCGACCTCAGCTCACTGCAACCTCCACCTCCTGGGTTCAAGTGATTCGTCTGCCTCAGCCTTTGGAGTTCAAGTGATTCTTTCTCCTGCCTCAGCTTCCCAAGTACCAAGTAGCTGGGACTACAGGAGTGTACAACCATGCCCGGCAATTTTTGTGTTTTTAGTAGAGATGTGGGTTTCACCATGTTGGTCTCGAACTCCTGACCTCAGGTGATCCACCTGCCTCAGCCTCCCAAAGTGCTGGGATTACAGGTGTGAGCCACGATGCCTGGCCAGCACTGTGGTTTTGATTTGCATTTCCCTTATCATTAGTGATGTTGAGCATTTTTTTCATATGTTTGTTGGCCATTTGTATATATTCTTTTGAGAATTGTTATTTATGTCCTTAGCCCACTTTTTGATGGGATTATTTGTTTTTTTCTTGCTGATTTGTTTGAGTTCCTTGTAGATTCTGGATATTAGACCTGTGTTGGATGCATAGTTTGTGAAAATTTCCCCCACTCTGTGGGTTGTCTGTTTACTCTGCTGATTATTTCTTGTGCTGTGCAGAAGCTTTCTAGTTTAATTAAGTCCTTCTATTTATCTTTGTTGCATTTGCTTTTAGGTTGTTGGTCATGAACTCTTTGCCAAGCCAATGTCTAGAAGAGTTTTTCCAATGTTATCTTTTAGAATTTTTATGATTTCAGGTCTTAGATTTAAGTATTTGATTCATCTTGAATTGATTTTTGTATAAGGTGAGAGATGAGTATGCAGATTTATTCTTCTACATGTGGCTAGCCAATCATTCCCAGCACCACCTGTTGAATAGTGTGTCCTTTCCCTACTTTATGTTCTCATTTGCTTTGTCAAAGATCAGTTGGGTGTAAATATTTGGCTTTATTTCTGGGATTGCTAGTCTCTTCCATTGGTCTATGTGCCTATTTTTATACCAGTACCATGCTGTTTTGGTGATGATAGCCTGGTAGTATAGTTTGAAGTCAGGTAATGTGATGCCTCCAGATTTGTTCTTTGTCTTTACTCTTGGTTTGGCTATGTGGGCTCTTTTGTTCCATATAAATTTAAGGGTTTTTTTTTTCTAGTTCTGTGAAGAATGATAATGATATTTTGATGAGAATTGCATTGAATTTATAGATTGCTTTTGGCAGTATGGTCATTTTCACAATATTGATTCTATTCATTCATGAGCATGGGGTATGTTTCCATTTGTTTGTGTCATCTATGATTTCTTTCAGCAATGTTTTGTAGTTTTCCTTGCAGAGATCTTTCACCTCCTTGGTTAGGTATATTCCTAAGTATTTTATTTTATTTTTTGCAGTTATTGTAAAAGGGGTTGAGTTATTGCTTTGTTTCTCAGCTTGGTTGCTGTTGGTGTATAGCAGTGTTACTGATTTGTGTACATTGATTTTGTATCCTGAAACTTTACTGAATTCATTTATCAGATCTCAGAGCTTTTTGAGTGAGTGCTCAGGGTGTTCTAGGTATACAATCATATCATCAGCAAATAGCAACAGTTTGACTTCCTCATTACCAATTTGGATGTCCTTTATTTCTTTCTCTTGTCTGATTGCTCTGGCTAGGACTTCCAGTACTATGTTGAATAGAAGTGGTGAAAGTGGGCGTCCTTACGTTGTTCCAGTTCTCAGGGGGAATGCTTTCAGCTTTTTCCCCTTCAGTATAATGTTGGCTGTGGGTTTGTCACAGATGGCTTTTATTACCTTAAGGTATGTTTTTTTCTATGTAGATTTTGTTGAGGGTTTTAATCATAAAATTTTGTCAAATGCTTTTTCTGTGTCTATTGAGATGACAATGTGATTTTTTTAACAAAAATTATGTTTATGTGGTGTATCACATTTATTGACTTGTGGATGTTAAACCATGCCTGTATCCCTGGTGTGAAACCCACTTGATCATGGGGGATTATCTTTTTGCTATGCTGTTGGATTTGGTTAGGTAGTATTTTGTTGAGGATTTTTATATCTATGTTCATCAGGGACATTGGTCTGTAGTTTCCTTTTTTTGTTATGTCCTTTCCTAGTTTTGATATTAGGGTGATACTGGCTTTATGGAATTATTTAAGGAGGATTCCCTCTTTCTCTGTCTTTTGGAATAATTTCAGTAGAATTGTTGAGAATTCTTCTTTGAATGTCTGATAGAATTCAGTTGTGAATCCTTCTGGTCCTGGACTTTTTTTTTTGTTTGGCAATTTTTAAATTACCATTTCAATCTCACTGCTTGTTATTGGTCTGTTCAGAGTTTCTATTTCTTCCTGGTTTAATCTAGGAAGGTTGCTTATTTCAGGAATTTATCTGTCTCCTCTAGATTTTCTAGTTTAGCTTGTAAAGGTGTCCATAGTAGCATTGAATGATTCTTTGTATTTCTATTTTATCGGTTGTAGTATCTCCTGTTTCATTTCTAATTGAGCTTATTAGGACTTTCTCCTTCTTTTCTTGGTTAATCTCACTAATGATCTATCAATTTTGTTTATCTTTTCAAAGAGCCAGCTTTTCGTTTTCCTTAGCTTTTTTATTTTTTTTGTTTAAATTTCATTTAGTTCTCCTCAGATCGTTGCTATTTCTTTTCTTCCGCTAGGGTTTGGTTTGGTTTGTTCTTGTTGCTGTAGTTCCTTGAGGTGTGACCTTAGATTGTGTATTTGTGTTCTTTCAGACTTTTTTAAGGTAGGACTGTAATGCTATGAAATTTCCTCTTTTTTTTTTAATTTTTACTTTTTGGAGATGGAATTTCACTCTTGTTGTCCAGGCTGGAGTGCAATGGCAAGATCTTGGCTCACCACAACCTCCTTCTCCCGTGTTCAAGCAATTCTTCCACCTTAGCCTCCCAAGTAGCTGGGACTACAGGCATGCACCACCACACCCAGCTAATTTTGTATTTTTAGTAGAGACGGGGTTTCTCCATGTTAGGCTAGTCTCGAACTCCCAACCTGAGGTGATCTGCCCGCCTTGGCCGAAGTTTTCTCTTAGCACTGTTTTTGCTGTATCCCAGAGGTTTTGATAGGTTGTGTCACTATTATCATTCAGTTTAAGGAATTTTTAAATTTCCATCTTGATTTCCTTGTTGACTCAAACTTTGTTCAGGAACAGATTATTTAATTTCCATGCATTTGCATGGTTTTGAGAGTTCCTTTGGAGTTCATTTCCAATTTTATTTCACTGTGGTCTGAAAGAGTACTTGATATAATTTTGATTTTCTTAAATTTATTGCAACTTGTTTTGTGGCCTATGTATGATCTGTCTTGGAGAATGTTCCATGTGCTGATGGATGTTTTTAGGGTATAGTTTAAGTCCACTGTTTCTTTGTTGGCTTTCTGTCTTGATGACTTGTCTAGTCCTGTCAGTGGAGTATTGAAGTCCCCCACTATCATTGTGTTGCCTTCTATCTCATTTCTTTGGGCTAGTAGTAATTGTTTTATAAATTTTGAAGCTCCGGTGTTAGGTGCATATATATTTAGGATTGTAATATTTTCCTGTTGGACTAGTCCTTTTATCATTATATAATGCCCTTCATTGTCTTTTTTAACTGTTGTTACATTAAAATCTCTTTTGTCTGATATAAGAATAGCTACTTCTGATCACTTTTGGTGTCCATTTGCACGGAATATCTTTTTCCACCCCTTTACCTTAAGTTTATCTGAGTCCTTATGTGTTAGGTGAGTCTCTTGAAGACGGCAGATACTTGGTTGGTGAATTATTATCCATTCTTCCATTCTGTATCTTTTAAGAGGAGCATTTAAGCCATTTACATTCAATGTTAGTATTGAGATTTGAGGTACTATTCTGCTCATTGTGCTGGTTGTTGCCTGAATACCTTGTTTTTTCATTGTGTTATTGTATGGTCCCCATGAGATTTATGCTTTAAGGAGGTTCTATTTTTGTGTATTTCAAGGTTTTGTTTCAAGATTTATAACTACTTTTAGCAGTCCTTGTAGTGCTGGCTTGGTGGTAGTGAATTCTCTCAGTATTTGTCTGAAAAAGACTTTATCTTTCCTTCATTTATGATGCTTAGTTTCACTGGATACAAAATTCTTGCTGGATAATTATTTTGTTTAAGGAGTCTAAAGATAGGATCTCCATCCCTCCTAGCTTGTAGAGTTTCTGCTGGGAAGTCTGCTGTTAATTCGACAGGCTTTCCTTTATTGGTTACCTGATACTTTTGCCTCACATCTCTTAAGATCCCTTTTTTCTTTTCAACTTTAGATAACCTGATGACTATGTGGCTAAGTGATGATCTTTTGGTGATGAACTTCCCAGGTATTCTTCGAGCTTCTTGTATTTAGACGTCTAGATCTCTAGCAAGGCCAGGGAAGTTTTCTTCAATTATTCCCTCAAATAAGTTTTCCAAACTTTCAGATTTCTCTTCTTCTTCAGGAATACCAATTACTCTTACGTTTGGTCAGTTAACATAATACCAAACTTCCTGGAGGCTTTGTTCATTTTTAAAATTCTGTTTTCTTTGTCTTTGTCAGGTTGGATTAATTCAAAAGCCTTGTCTTTGAGCTCTGAAGTTCTTTCTTCTACTTGTTTGATTCTATTGTTGAAACTTTCCAGTGTGTTTTGCACTTCTCTAAGTGCGTCATTAGTTTCCAGAAGTTGTGATTGCTTTTTAATTATGAGATCTATTTATTTGGAAATTTTTTTCATCCACATCCTGTATTATTTTTTAAGTTTCTTTAAATTGATTTTCACCTTTCTCTGATACCTCCTTGAGGAGCTTAATAATTGACCTTCTGAATTCTCTTTCTGACAATTCGAGATTTCTTCTTGGTTTGGATCCATGTTTGCTGGTGAGCTAGTGTGACCTTTTGGGGTGTTATAGAACCTTGTTTTATTATACTACCAGAATTGTTTTTCTGGTTCTTTCTCATTTGGGTAGACTATGTCAGAGGAAAGATTTGGGGTGCAAGGGCTGCTGTTCAGATTTGTCCCACTGGCGATCCTTTGATGTGGTGCTCTCCCCTTTCCTTTAGAGATGCGGCTTTCTGAAAGCTGGACTGCAGCGATTGTTATTGCTTTTCTCGGTCTAGCCACCCAGCGGGGCTACCAGGCTCTGGGCTGTTACTGGGGAGTGTCTGCAAAGAGTCCTGTGATGTGATTCATCTTCAGGTCTCTCAGCTGTGGATACCAGCACCTGCTCAGCTGGAGGTAGCAGGGGAGTGAAGTGGACTCTGTCAGAGTCCTTGGTTGTAGTTTTGTTTAGTGTGCTGTTTTTCTCGAATGCTGGTTATACTAGCAATGAAGTTGCTACATGGACAGACTCAGGGCCTCTGGGGAGCCAAGATGTTACAGGCAGTGGAATTGGCTGTTGTTTTCTCCTTTTTTGGAGCAGTGCTGTTCTGTTATGAGTTGCTGTAATGGCTTGAGTTGGTTGGCCTCCCACTAGGAGGTGGTGCTTTCAAGAGAGCATTAGCTGTGGTAGTATAGGGGTGGATACAAGCTTGCTCTAAGGTCACCTGGATAAGTATTTGGGTTTCTCAGGTGATGGGCAGGGCCATAGAGCTCCCATGAGTTCATCTTTTGTCTTCAGCTACCAGGGCTGGTAAAGAAACACCATTAGGTTGGGGCAGTGTTAGGCATGTCTGAGCTCAGACTCTCCTAGGGCTGGGCTTGCTGTGGCCACTGTGGGGGATGGGGGGTTGTTCTCAGGTCAGTGGAGTTATGCTTCAAGAGGGATTATGGCTGCCTTTGATGCTTCATACAAGTCCCAGGGAAGTGGGGGAAAGCCAGCAGCGACAGGCCTCACCCAGCTCCCGTGTAGCCAGCAAGGCCAGTGCTCCTGTCATGCTCTCCCGACAGAGCTGAATTTATATCCAGGCCTCAGGTGTGCAAGGCTGAGATATTGCCCCAGGCTACAAGCCTCTCTGCTGAGAAAGCAAGCAGGGCTTTCAGGTCTCACCCCTCTCTGCTTGCCTTGGCTTCTGTGCTCATATCTGCACTTCCCGTTTTTGCCCTACCCCACAATGCTGTCCAGGAAAATTCATGCTCAGTCGAAATTATTACAAAGTTCTGCTGGAAGTCTCCTCCTTGTGACCCTTCCCCAGTTCCACTCTCTGCCTTGCCTGAGGACCCCTGTGAGAGAAAGTCAGAAATGGCTTCCCTGGGCTTCCCTGGGGGCTGGGAGTACTTACAGAGCTCTTCTCACCGCTGCTTCTACTTTTATATTTCACTCGGCTCTCTAAATTTATTTCACCTCTACGTAAGGTTAAATCCTTCTCCTGTGATCTGGATTTTCAGTTTCCCCAGTAAGGATGTGTATTTGGAGGCAGACCTTCCCCCTCTCACACTTTAGGCACTCACAGTTTTTTGGCTGTCTCATGAAGTTTGCAGTGGCAAGCTGCTTCTTTCAAAGGGTCTGTGAATTCCTTTGGGTTTCCTGGTATGTTTTGCGGTAGTTCTTGGAGCAAAAGTTCATAATGTGAGTCTTCACACACTGTTCTGTCTCCATCTGAGTGGGAGCTGCAAGTTAGACCTGCCTCCTATTTGCCATTTTTTTCTGAGTCCCCTTTTTTAGTTTTTTGGGACAGGGTCTCACTCCATCACCCAGGCTGGAGTGAAGTGGTATGATCACAGCTCACTGCAGCCTCAACCTCACAGGCTCAGGTGATCCTCTCACCTCAGCCTCCCTAGTAGCTGGGACTACAGGTGCATGTCACTACATCCAGCTAATTTTTGTATTTTTTGTAGAGACAAAGTTTTCCCATGTTGTGCATGCTGGTCTAAAACTCCTGGCATCAAGCAATCTGCCTGCCTCAGCCTCCCAAAGTGCTGGGATTACAGGTGTGAGTCACCATGCCTGGCCATGTTTTTCTTTTTTGCTCAGCATAATACTTTTGAGGTTCATCCATTCTGTTATAGGTATCATTCATTTGTTCCTTTTATTTTAGAGTTGTACTCACAGTAGATGTACCATAATTCATGTCATCAACTGTTGATGGACATTTTGGTTGTTTCCAGATTCTGGTTATTTTGAATAAAGCTGCTGTGATTATTAATGGACAAGTTTTTGTGGGGACATATATTTTAATACGTTTCATGTGTTTTATTAAGAGTAAAAATATAGAATTGAAATTGCTAGATCATATGAAAGTATGTATTGGCTGGGCACAGTGGCTTATGCCTGTAATCCCAGCACTTTGGGAGGCCAAGGCGGGTGGATCACGAGGTCAGGAAATCAAGACCATCCTGGCTAACACGGTGAAACCCCGTCTCTACTAAAAATACAAAAAAATCCGCCAGTCGTGGTGACAGGCACCTGTAGTCCCAGCTACTCGGGAGGCTGGGGCAGGAGAATGGCGTGAACCCGGGAGGTGGAGCTTGCAGTGAGCCGAGATCGCGCCACTATACTCCAGCCTGGGTGACAGAGTGAGGCTCCATCTTAAAAAAAAAAAAAAAAAAAAAAAAAGAAGTATGTATTTAACGGAATAAGAAACTGCTAAATGGTTTTCCAAAGTGATGGTACTTATTTTTATGTTCGCAAGCAATGTATGAGAGATGCAGGTGTTTCACATCCTTGTGAACACTTGGTATTTTCATCCCATTTTTATTTAATCCATTTGAGTGGGTGAGTAGTTGTATCCCAACATGGTTTTAATGAGTGTTTTCCTCTTGGCTAATGCTGTTGAGCATCTTCTTATGGGTTTATTGGCCATTTGTGTATCTTCTTTGCCCACAGTTTCTATTGAATTGTTTGTCTTCTTATTTTTGAGTTATAAGACTTCTTTATATATTCTGGAAAGCAGTCTTTGTCAGATGTATGTATTGCAAATATTTTCTCCTAGTCAGTGGCTTGCCTTTTCATTTTCTTAATATTATCTGTTGAAAAGCAAAGGTTTTTATTTTGATGGAAAACTTACCAATTTTTCTTCTATGATTCATGTTCTTTGTGTCCTATCAAAAATCCTTTGCCTATCCCAAGGTCATAAACATGTTCTCCTATATTCCTTCTGGAGATTTTATAGTTTTTGCTTTTATGTTTAGGCCTATGATCTATTTCACATGGATTTGTGTGTTCAGTATGATGAGTTAAGGTTCATTTCTTCCTTAAGTGTTTGACAGAATGAAGCCATGTCTGCCTGGAGGTTTCTTTGTGGGAAGATTTTAAACTATAAATTCAGGTTCTTTAATAGATATAGGGCTATTCAGATATTGTATTTCTTTGTCTATCCATTTTAGTATTTGTGTCTCTGTAGGCAGAATGACCTCCCAAGGATGCCCATGTCTTGATCCCCCGAGCCAGTAAATGTGTTACTGTACATGACAAAAGGGACTTTATAAAGATGTGCTTAAAATAAAGATCCAGAGACGGGAAGTTAATCCTGGATTATGCGGCTGGACCCAGTGTAATCACAAGTCTTTGTAAGAGGGAGACAGAAGCGTCAAAGTCAGAAAGAAGATGTGATCAGAGAAGCAGAGGTCAGAGTGATGCGGTTGCTGCTGGGAGCCAGAAGCCAAGGAATGTTGGCAGCCTGAGGACGCTGGGAAAGGCAGGAAAGATTCTCCCTTAGAGCCTGCAGAAGGGACCCAGTGCTGCCAATACCTCGATTTCAGCAGAAGAAGCCCAGTTTAGGACTTCTGACTTCTGGAACTGCAAGACACTAAATCTGTGTAGTTTTGAGTCTCTGTATTTGAGGTCATTTATTACAGCTGCAATTAGAAACCAGCACAGTGTCTTTCAAGAAATGTATCCATTTCGTCTGCATTTTCAAACTTGTTGGCGTGAAGCTGTTTCTAATAATTTCCTATTAACATTTTAATGTCTGTAGGCTGTGCCATGATGTCCCCTATTTCATTCTTGAGATTGGCAATTTGTTTATTTTTAGAAAATCAGTCAGGCTAGAAATTTATCCAATTTTATGATATTTTCAAAGAACCAGTTTTTGGTGTTATTTTTCTCTATTGTGTGTCCATTTTCTATTTCATTGATTTCTACTCTTACCTTTGCTGTTTCCCTTTTTCTACCTACTTTTGTTTCCATTTGCTCTTCTTTTGCTAACTCCTTCAGGTGGAAGCTTGATGATTGATTTTAGACTTTTTTTCTTTTATCACTTCACTTAAAGCTGTGAACATCCTGCCAACCATTGCTTTACCTGCAGCTCACAAATTTTATTTTCATTTTCATTCAGTGCAAAATATTTTGTAGCATCCCTTGTTATTTAAAAACGTGTTGTTTATCTCCAAGTATGTCTATGATTGATTTCTAACTTAATTCCTTTGTGGTCAGAGAACATACTCCAAATGATGATGTCAGTCTTTTAAAATTGATTGAAACTTTTCTTTTTTTTTTTTTTTTAGACGGAGTCTCGCTGTTGCCTAGGCTGGAGTGCAGTAGCGTGATCTCGGCTCACTGCAAGCTCCGCCTCCCGGGTTCATGCCATTCTCCTGCCTCAGCCTCCCGAGTAGCTGGGACTACAGATGACCACCACCACGCCTGGCTAATTTTTTGTACTTTTAGTAGAGATGGGGTTTCACCGTGTTAGCCAGGATGGTCTCGATCTCCTGACCTCATGATCCGCCTGCCTTGGCCTCCCTGGTGACAAATTTTATCATTTTTTTTGTCTGAAAAAGTATTTATTTCTCCTTAATTGTTGAAGTTTCTTTTTCATGGATGTTGAATTCTAGGTTGACTTTTATTTCCTCTCAATACTAACGAATAATGTTCCTGGCTGTGCTGGGTGGCTCAGACCTTTGGGAGGCTGAGGTGAGAAGATGTCTTGAGCCTGGGAGGTAGAGGCTGCAGTGAGCTATGGTTGCACCATTGTACTCCAGCCTTTGTGACAGAGCAAGATCCTAGAAAGAAAGAAAGAAAGAAAGAAAGAAAGAAAGAAAGAGAGAGAGAGAGAGAGAGAGAGAGAGAGAGAGAAAGAAAAGAAAAGAAAAGAAAAGAAAAGAAAAGAAAGAAAAGAAAAGAAAAGAAAAGAAAAGAAAAGAAAAAAAGAAAAGAAGGAAAGAAAGAAAGAAAAGGGTGTTGGACTTTGTTCTTGGGATCAGCTTGAACCTTTCAAGACCTGTGCTGAAGCTTATGTGGGGCAAATCTAGAGTACTCGCTACTCCAGGGCTAGTTCATCCCTACTATAAGGTGTGATCTTCTGTCATCTGGTTGAATGCCATGGAGGTCTCTTCACTCTGGCTGGTCAGAAGCTGGACCTCTTCTGGCCTTCTGTGAGCCCTGACCATTGTTCAGCTTGGAGCCCCCAGTCATATTTGATCAGTCTTGTGGAATGTCCCCATATATGTGTTTAGCTTAGTGTTCAGCCATGGATTCAAGGAGGACCTGGGCCGATTTCTGGAGCCCTTTCTCTACATAACTCTCTCTTCTCTGGCACTCTGCACTCTGAATTGCAGCCACCTCAGCCTCCCCAAACTCTACTCGCTGTGTCCTCAACTCAGAGACACATCATGCTGTGCTTTGGTTCCCCTCCCTGCTCTGCCGTCTTGGAAGTTTCTCCAGGCAGAGGGCCAAGGTGATTGGAAGTCTCTCCTGGTTTCTTTTCCTTCTCTCTGGAATCATGGTCCTGTGCTGCTCATCTGAACACTGGTTTTTAAGTAGATGTGTAGATTGGGATGGAGCCGTTTTCTTGATATTGATAGCAGAACGGCAAGCACAGTTCCAATTTTTGGCTTCCAGCCAGTTTTTCACAGCCAGAAGCCAAAACGCTACAGTTTTTGGGTGATTCTGATGAACCCTAAATGTGGAGAACTCCTGGGCTAGAAGGCAATAAAAGTAACGCCTTGCATTTGTGCCACAATTTCAAGTTCAGAGACATCTTCATATTCATGACCATTTAATCCTCACAGCCATCTTTGAGCAAGGCAAGAAAGGGTTATAATCTCCCTCTTAGGTCATGAAATCTGAGGTCCAGGGGGAGTCATGGCTTCCCTAAGGAAGGATAGCTGGTAAGCGGGGCTGCTGGGGCTGGGACTCCAGTCTTCACACCGTGACGCCGGAATCATCTCCGCAGTGAGAGAAGTGGGGATCCCCAGAATGCCAGGCCAGAAGTGAGTGTGGGGTTCCCCTTCCCTGAGCCACACCATGCAGGTTTGCCCCTCCAGGCCCAGGCTGGGCCTGCCTTCCTCTCCTCTGCACCCAGCCTCTCTCCCGGCATCCTGTCCCACCGCCGTCCTAATGAATATCAGGCTCCAGCTGATTGGGCCATTTCCTCCTCCCACACCCACAGCTGTTTTTCTCACACTTTCCACTCTGTGTAAAGTGCTTTTTCTCATCCTGAACCTCTGCATGCTCAAGTCCTGTTTTATCAAGGCCACTTATGCCAATGGTAGCTTCCATTTTCTTTCCCGTGAGTTTCACAGCACCTCACCTATATCCTTCTCTGGCCTTTACCACTGTCTTTTTTGTGTAGTTATTTGTGTCATTGTGATCCCTTCCAAGATTGTGAAATCCATGAGTGTAGGGAAAAGAAAGAGAGATCAGACTGTCACTGTGTCTATGTAGAAAGGAAAGACATAAGAGACTCCATTTTGAAAAAGACCTGTACTTTAAACAGTTGCTTTGCTGAGATGATGTTAATTTGTAGCTTTGCCCCAGCCACTTTGACCCAACTTGGAGTTCACAAAAACATGTGTTGTATAAAATCAAGGTTTAAGGGACCTAGGGCTGTGCCGGACGTGCCTTGTTAACAAAATACTTACAAGCAGTATACTTGGTAAACGTCATTGCCGTTCTCTAGTCTCAATAAACCAGGGGCACGATGCACTGTGGAAAGCCACAGGGACCTCTGCCCTTGAAAGCTGGGTATTGTCCAAGGTTTCTCCCCATGTGATAGTCTGAAATATGGCTTCGTGGGATGAGAAAGACCTGATGGTCCCCCAGCCTGACACCCGTAAAGGATCTGTGCTGAGGTGAATTAGTAAAAGAGGAAAGCCTCTTGCAGGTGAGATGGAGGAAGGCCACTGTCTCCTGCTTGCCCCTGGGAACTGAATATCTCAGTGTAAAACCCGATTGTACATTTGTTCAACTCTGAGATAGGAGAAAAGCTGCCCTGTGGCGGGAGGTGAGACATGTTTACAGTAATACTGCCTCGTTATTCTTTACTCCACTGAGATGTTTGGGTGGAGAGAAACATAAATCTGGCCTACGTGCACGTCCAGGCATAGTACTTTCCCTTGAACTTAATCATGGTATAGATTCTTTTGCTCACATGTAATTTGTTGACCTTCTCCTTATTATCACCCTGCTCTCCTACTACATTCCTTTTTGCTGAAATAATGAAAAATAATAATCAATAAAAACTGAGGGAACTCAGAGGTCGGTGCCGGTGCAGGTCCTTGGTGTGCTGAGCGCCGGTCCCCTGGACCCACTGTTGTTTCTCTATACTTTGTCTCTGTGTCTTATTTCTTTTCTCAGTCTCTCGTCCCACCCAACTAGAAATACCCACAGGTATGGAGGGGCAGGCCACCCCTTCAGTGAGGGAAAGAATCAGTGCCTAATAAATGTAGGCACCTACCCCACACTCCAACTTGTGCTGTCTGAAGCCTTGGGCACAATGGGCAATTCGTGAGAGTAAGGAAGTGGTGGGGAGGGACAAGAGAGAGAATCATGAGGAACTGTGCTTAGTTTTGGGAAGGAGGCAGCCCCAGAAAAGGGCACTCCTCCCCGTGGGCTTGGAAGTGTCACTTTTTACATGACAGTGTAAGATATTTGGTTGAATTGTGTGTGTGTGTTTGTGTTTGCATATATGTCTATATTACATGTACATGTAGATTATATATAATATACAATGTACTTTTTCCACGTGTATGTATAATCAACAATAAAATGTTTTAAAATTGAGATTATAAAATGAAGTCATCTCTAGATTTCCTTTTTTAGTTCTGACATGTATGTTTTAAGATCATAATTCCAGGATAACTTGTTGGGAGCAGAAGGGATATTGATAGAGGCTTTAATGTCTAAAGACCACCTGCAAGAACAGCAAGGCATTTGATTTTTCTGACCCTGGGTGCTCATTCAGTGCCTCCCTCTTCCTCAACTACCTGACAAGGGTGGAAGGCATGGCCTCCTTGCCAATGAGCCGCATTACCCCAGGGGAACTTTCTCTCACTTCAGCACATAAGTCCAGGTTTCCCACCAGGATCTGGTGGGACAGCTCTCTAGATGGGCAGGGGGATGGGGAAGGGACATCTGCTCCTGCCCAGATGTTCTGATGAATCCTGTGTGATGAGAGAGGGTGTTCAGGGGTCATTTCATCCAGCCCTCTGCATCTGGGCAGAACAAAAGCTAACCCTGCTGTAACCACACGTGCACACCTGAGTGGCTACTGCTTCTGGCTCACACACACTTCTTATGTGTTCTGTGGCTGGACTTCAGATAAGCAAGGCCATTATCCTTCTGGGAAATAAAACAAATACAGCCTTTCCTTGTAATCTTTTGGACCTGTTTTTGTAGGCGTTTGCTTCATTAGTGTATTGAAATAGTGATGATAATCTGAGCCAGCCAGCATTTGTATTTCGCTTTATGGTTTTCAATTTCTCTGGGTCTTGGTTTCCTCAACCATGGAGTAGGGGCAATAACTGAATCCACATCACAGGTTACTGGGAGGATAAATAAACAATGCATGTCATGGCATACTCATTTTATTTGATTCTTAGTGAGTGACACACGAGACGTGCACAGTTATTATTCCTGTTTCTCAGATGTGGCCAGTGATGCCCAGATAGAGTGGGTGAGTTGCTTGAAGTGACACAGCCATGGAGGCACAACTAGGGCTGAACCCATGCCTCCTACCCTAAGCCCCGCCCCTATTTCTCTGCACTACACATTAGGACGTCTGATGTGAAGAGAGTACCTGGGGCAGGGAGTTAGCGATGATCCTGAAAATGGATGCTTGATGACGTGATGTCAAGTATGCAAAGGGAACAGAGGTGCACAGAAATAAAGTGACTTGCCCAGAGCTAGTACACAGCAGAGCCAGAAATGCCACCCAGACCAGGTTGCCCTGAGTTTTCTCAGCCAGGGGTTCTCTTAAATGCAGCCCGAGGCACAAATTTTTTGTGTCTCACATAGCGACAGTCAATTGAGGGGATGCAGTGTACAGCCTAGGGATGGGAGGGCATCTCTGGGTACCTGCTATAGTCACATTCTGAGCTAGGAAAACCCTACTCTCCCCCGATGCCCGCCTGATGGGTGGAGCCAGTCCTGCCAGGCACTGAGCCATCTGGAGCACCCAGGCCCTCACCCCTTCTCCCAGAACACCATTTCCTTGGAGCTTCTCTGGATTTAAAAGTGGAATAAGGTCATGGAAAAGAATATGGATTCTGGAAAAGGCAGGCACGGGTCTGAACTCTCATTCTGCCCCTTCCCAGCATTGGGGTCTTGGGGAAGTTATGTAACTTCTCTGAGCCTCAGTTTCCTCCCCCGTACTATGGGTATAATGGAGTTGTGGGAGCACAGTATCTTGCATAGAGTAAATGCTCAGCAGGTTTTAGTGTTTAGTAGGAGCAGTGAGAGTTTTCCTGGAGCCAGAAGACTGAGTTTGTCACTCTGGTCATGGGAACTGGGGTGAGTTTTTTCTCTCTCTGAGCTTCCCTATCCTCATCTGTGAACTGGGTCTGTGTTGGTATCCCCTGAGCTTACATCTGTACATTCTATATGCACAGGAAAGTGCTAGACAAATTGTTTGGGGAGTGAGACCAGGTCTAAACAGAACTTTTGGGACCAGCTAAACGTGGGAACACCCCTCCCCCATTGCACCCCCACCTCCAGCCCCAGTAAATGACCTGCCTTGATTTGGAGAAGGTTAGAAGCCTCCATGACAGACATGTTAAACAATCCATCAAGCCCTGCTGTGAGAAGGGCATAGACAGAATTTTCCTCTTTTTTTTTTTTTTTTTTTGATACAGTCTTGCTCTGTCACCCAGGCTGGAGTGCAGTGGCATGATCACAGCTCACTGCAACATTGACCTCCTGGGCTCAAGTGATTCTCCCACCTCAGCCTTCCAAGTAGCTGGGACCACAGATGTGTGCCAACATGCTCAGATAATTATTTTACTTTTTACAGAGACAGGGTCTTCCTGTGTTGCCCAGGCTGGTCTCGAACTTCTGGGCTCAAGTCACCCTCCTGCCTTGGACTCCCAACGTGCTGGGATTACAGGCATGAGCCACTGAGCCTGACCTCCTCTTTCTTTAACACTGGCTTTGAGGAGGGCACAATGGTAGTGAATTGAGTATCCCTGAGAAAGCTTCAAGCTGGAGGTACACATCAGAGAATCCTGGTTACTGCTCTAACCTGTCCTCACTGCCCCCACTCCCTGTGAGCTGGGACCATACTCTGCCTTTCCCTGGGCCTTGAAAGTCCCACAGCAGAGCCAGGTGGAAATGGAATCACATGATTTGGGAGTAAGAAGGACTCACCCACTCTAAGACACCCTTCCACGGCATCAGGCACCCACTACATCATTCCTGATCAGCAGGCTCTGCCCAAAATTTCCCAGGACAACAGCTCTCTGCATCACGAGATGATTATTCAATTTTAGGATGACAAGGTGGTTAGAAAGATTTTCCTTAGATTGAGCTTTGATCGACCTTCCTTTGTCTTTCACCCACTGGTCTGAGTCCAGCCCTCTGGAATCTCATTATACAAGTTAATCCTTAATACCCCTTCTAGTTCTGCCTAGAGGAGGACACAAGAAGGAGGGAAGCAAGAATGAAGCCACATTCCAAGCCACCCAAGCTTTCTTACATCACTCTGTCTACACATAAGCTGCAGGTTGTCACATTTGACAAATTGTTTTAAAATCTTCTCTTTTCCTAATTCCTGCCAACTCTTCCTCACCCTCACCCACAGAAACTTCTCTAAGAATGACCCAGGAAGGGGGGAGAGTCATAGAACCCCACCCCTGAGGACTTTTGCAGTTTAAATAGCAATCTTGAGTAGTTTTCAAGTTTTTATTTTTTATAATTCTTCAGAATTCCTTTATTAAATAAACTCTTACATGAAACTCGAGATGGATGCATAGGTGGGTGGGCAGATGGATGGATGTATGGGTGGATGTTTGGATGAATGGGTGGGTGAATGGATGGGTTGGTGGGAGGGAGGGAGGTAAAACAATGGGAATAGTGTAGTTAAGCAGACACACCCTAGAGCCAGACTACAAAGGCTTGAATCCTTGCCTTGTCATTTACTAGCTGTGTGACCTTGAGTAGTCACTTAGACTTCAGCACTTCAGTTTCTCATCTGATGATGGGCATAGAAGTTGAAACCCATCTCATAGGAATATCGTGACTACTGCATGAGTGAATGTATGTGAAGCATTTATGATGGCACCTGGAGCAGTGGGTACTCTGTAAATGTTTCCTATTATTATTATTATTATTATTATTATTTGAGACGGAGCCTCACTCTGTTGCCAGGCTGGAGTGCAGTGGTGCAATCTTGGCTCATGCAACCTCCACCTCCCAGGTTCAGGTGATTCTCCTGCCTCAGCCTCCCAAGTAGCTGGGAGTACAGGCACACGCCACCATGCCCAGCTAATTTTTGTATTTTTAGTAGAGACAGGGTTTCACCATGTTGGCCAGGATTGTCTCGATCTCCTGACCTTGTGATCCACCCCCCTTGGCTTCCCAAAGTGCTGGGATTACAGGCGTGAGCCACCACACCCAGCCTCCTGTTATTATTATTACTGCTGACTGAAGCTGGGGAGAATCTCCCCTGTCCCGACCAGTGCAATTCCTGAGACATCAGAGCTCCTGGGAAACATTGCTTTTAGGCCACTTAACTAGTTCCTTTTCTCATTTAATGGAGCAGATAATGAGGCCCAGAGAGAAGATATCACTTGCCCAGGCTCACACAAAGCCAGATTTTGAACCCGGGTCTCCTGGCTCTTGGGCTTTGTGATTCTCAGAGATCTTTCTGCATGTGATGAAAATCAAGGCAGTACATGAGGAATTTGAGAAGGTCCAGCAACCTGTGGCTCTGACCTTGACTGAGCTGCTCTGTCTGCTCCCGGACCCCTCCAGGATGGGTCCAGAGGCCTTCTGCTAATGAAGTAGCAACTCGAGCTCTCTTCGGGAGCTGCGACGGAGGTGGATGAAGGCAGTGAGCTATGAGCTTAGTTCACACTTGGACCATGTCTTAAGAGCATAGGATACAAGGTGTGACCTGCAGTACACGCAAAGTGCGGTGATTAATTCACAGATAAGCCTTGTCAGCTTCCCCTCATGCCCTCCCTCTCACTCTTGCTCTGACATATTAGAGCAACTGTCTCTCTCCTCTCCAGAAAGATAGGCAATCACAGGCAGTGGTGCCCCTCTGACATTTATGTGGGATCTCCAAGGTGATGGAGGAGAGAGGCCTTTAGTTTGTATCAAAACCAGAAGAACTGTTTATCTTCTATCAGGTGACAACCCTTCATTCCTTTACTTAACACATTGATTAGCATCTGCTATGTGGCCATGTGCTAGGCAGGGCCACTTTCTGAGTCCTGCGAAGTCAGTTGCATAGTGTCCTGCACTTGAAAGTGCCCCGCATTCGGTTTAACGCTCTGCTGTCACATTAATAACGATATCTTCACACTTCTGTTTTGTCAGCGAAGTCCTGTAGGATAAGGGGGCATGCACAGGAGCAGAGGAGCCACATGTGATGTGTGTGGCCGCCGTTCCCTGCCGCCCCATTCACATAATCTTCTCCATGCCCCTGGGGAGCCATGCTGTGGGATGTGCAGGAAACTCAGCATGCTGTGAGTAGAGGCAGGGTTGTTAGTCAGTGACTGAGTGAGCGGGGCACTAACCATCTGGAGAGGCCTCACTTTCCACTGAAACCAGAATGCGCTTGTACACAGAAAGAAGGCAATGACATTTGAAGAGACACAAATGACTGAGGAGCCCTGTTGTATCCTCTTATTGGAGTTACTTCCCTGTGCTAACCGACCCCCGTGTTGAGATGACATGAAAGGAAAGGGCAGGACACTATGGCCACAGTGCCCTGAGGGTGCCCAATCTCGTCTCAGAAGCTAAGCAGGGCCTGGCCTCATTAGTACTTGTATGGAACAAGGAAAGGGGAAGAGAGAGCAGCCTATAGCTCCTGTCCTTTCAGTCCTTCCTTAGTGTGCATGATCCCAAGGTAGAGAGTGTTGCTGGAGTGTGTGGGTGTCAGGAAGTGAGATAGAAAGAGCTGGGCTAGTTTTGTGCAGCGTATCTACTGGTTTAGCAAGAATGAAATACATGCACATGGATGAGCTGTGGAATGTGAATTGTGTAATTGTGTTGATTCTACATATGAGGTCAATGCTAATATTTTCATTTATACCTTGCATCCTACAATATAAAAACAAATGGTAAAAAGTCACGATAATTTAAATTTATTTTTTATTTTATTTTATCTTATTTTTTTTAGATGGAGTCTCGCTCTGTCACCCAGGCTGGAGTGCAATGGCATAATCTTGTCTCACTGCAACCTCTGCCTCCCACGTCCAAGCCATTCTCCTGCCTCAGTCTCCCGAGTAGCTGGGATTACAGGCACCCGCCACCACGCCCAGCTAATTTTTTGTATTTTTAGTAGAGATCGGGTTTCACTATGTTGTCCAGGCTTGTCTCGAACTCCTGACCTCATGATCCGCCCACCTCAGCCTCTCAAAGTGCTGGGATTACATGCGTGAGCCATCGCACCCAGCCTTAAATTTGTTTTTTAACTTAGCATGACATTAAATAGCAAATAAAAATACCACGACAAGTCAAGTGGGAGAGAACACAGAAGAAAGGAAAACGCCGTGTATTTGAGCCCCTTCAATGACGCTTCTTCCTGCTCTTTGAACAGAAGCGCTGCGTTTTCATTTTGCCCTGGGCCTCATGTTACGTAGCCGGTCCTGGTGTTAGGTACCCGGACGCACCACAAACGAAACAGATTCGTTCCCCGCAGAGCTTATTAGTCTAGTGAGAGAAACATACTTTGAATAGTCCCAGAAATACATCATTATAAGATAAGTCTATGAAAGAAGTGTAGAGCATTCCTAATCTTGTCTCTGAACAGGGCAGACTTCTTGGAGGAAGTGAAATTTGAACTGCGATGTGAAGAATGAGCAGGAGTTAGTGAGGTGAAGAAGAGAGAAGGAGTGTTGCAAACACAGGTCAGTCTGTGAAAAGGCCCTGAGACACAAGGAGCCTAGAACCACGGCTCGAAGACAACCGTCTGGCTGGGGCATGGCTCGTCTTACAGATCACATTAAGGAACAAATAATTATGTTAAGAGTTATGGGCTGCCATTAAGGATTTGGATAAGAGAGTCTTACAATCACATCTGTGTTTTCTAAAGGCCTGACACTGATTGGTACATGGAGTACAGCCTGAAGGGAACAAGACTTGTTAGAAAGGAAGCTATCGACTGGGTGTGGTGGCTCGTGCCTATAATCCCAGCACTTTGGGAGGCTGAGGTGGGCAGATTACTTGAGGCCAGGAGTTCGAGATCATCCTGGCCAACATGGTGAAACCCTGTCTCTACTAAAAATACAAAAATTAGCGGGTTGTGGTGGTGAGCACCTATAATCCCAGCTGCTTGGGAGGCTGAGGCAGGAGAATTGCTTGAATCTGGGAGGCGGAGGTTGCAGTGAGCCCAGGTTGCACCACTGCACTCCAGCCTGGGTGACAGAGACTTCCTTTCCAAAATAAAAAAAAGAAAGAAAGAAAGAAGAAAGAAAGAAAGGAGGCTATTGCAGTAATGCAAGTGAGAGACCATGGTGGCTTAGGCAATGGTGGAGATGGAGGAATTTGGGGGAATTGATTGGGTTCAAGAAATAGGCAGGAGGAAACGCGATGGATTGGGTGGGAGTAGGGAAACAGATGAGAAGAGGTATCAGGAAAGCTGCCTAGGTTTCTGGTCTGTGCCACTGTGTGGATGATGAGGTCATCTACTAGAGGATGTGTCAGTGGTGGAGGCCAAGGTCTGAAAGTGGAGGGGGGAAGAGTGAGAGAGGAAATTGTAAGTTTACCTTTATGTTCAGCTGAGGTCCTTTCGAAACATACAAGCAGCAGTATGAATAATTCCATTGATATATTTGTCCGGAGCCCAGAGTGAGGTTTAAATAAGAAGAAATAAACTCGCTAGTAAAAATTGCAGACACAAAAAGGCTTGAACAGGCACTTCACAAAATAGATTATCCAAATGACCAATAAACACATAAGTACTCAACATCATTAGCCATTAGAAAAATGCAAGTTAAAACCACAATGAGATACCATGTCACACTAGAATGACTAAAATTTTAAAAGACTGACAATGCTAAATGTTCCCAGGATGCAGAACAACCAAAACCCTCATATATTATGGGGGACATGGAAAATTGTACAACTCCTTTGGAAAACAGGTAGTTTCTACAGAATTTCAATATATACATACGATACAACTCAGCCATTGCATTCCTATTTACCCAACAGAAATAAAATCATTTGTCTACTGAAAAATTTGCAAAATAATGTTCATTGCAGCTGTAACCATTATAACCCTCAAACGGAAACAACCCAATGTGCATGGATTGTGAATAGATGACAAATGGTGGTCCATCTATACAATGGAATATTGCTCTTCAACAGAAACAAACTACAGGTCCATGTAACAACATGATGAGTGAAAGAAGTCAGATGTAAAAAAGTACATATGTATGATGCAATTTATACGACACTCTAGAATAGGCAAAATTAATCCTTAGTGATGAAATCAGATCTGAGGTTGCCTGGGGCAGAGATGGGGGTAGCTGACTGCAAGGAGGTGTGGGGAGGGTTGTGAATTTTGGGGAGTGATGGAGCTGCTCTGTATCTCAATTGTGATGTGGTTACACAACTGCATGCATTTGTCAGAACTCACAGAACTACACTCTAAAACTTATAAATTTTACCGCATGTAAATCTTACCTTAATTAAAAATTAAAAAAATTGAAGATGTGGATTTAGGTAAGATTCACTAAGTGATAAAGATAGAGTTGAGTTACAAGAGAATTGCTATCTCCATCTTGCATGGGAGAAAAATGAAGCTCAGAGAAGTGAAGTGGCTTCCCAAGATCACACAGCTACTAAGTAGCACAGCTGGGGCTCAAAACCAGAGCCATGTGATCAGATGGCCCATATTCTTTTTGTTCCCTCCCATCAACCAAGCCCAGGCCCATGGCTGAGCATGATGGCCAAGCAGGGAGGAGGGCCAGCTTCTCTTCAAGGAAGAAAACAGCGTGCTGTTCTTTATATATGTAAATGATGTTCTGTTCCTCACCCATCACCAATCACACAGGTACTTAGGTTGCAAGGTGTGGGGACTGCCATGGTGATGATGGCTCTCCCCACCAGTCCTCAATGGGAATACCAGCAAGACGCCAGGCCACAGTAAGGGATTCTGTCTGGGCCCTCCAGACACCCAGAGGGCCACGATGAGATCTACTCCAGAGGAGTAATTGTACCCTGCCCCAAACTACCAGGGATCTTGACACTGACATAGCTCTTTATACTTTCCAACTCCAGAAGTATTAACTGGGAACAACTACATTTTCCAGCCCTGAGCTTGTGGACCAGCTCCAGATCTTATGATCTGATCTCTCCCTATGACTGTTACAACTGCCTCAAGATGGCTCACTCTGCCTCCTGTCCCATCCCACTCCTAATCGCTCCCCACACTGCTATAAGAGGGACTTCCTTATAGCTTATACAAAAGTTAACTCAGATAGATCAAATACTTAAATGTAAAACCCCAAACTATAAAAATCCTAGAAGAAAATCTAGGCAATACCATTCAGAACATAGGCATGGGCAAAGATTTTATGATGAAATTGCCAAAAGCAATTTCAACAAAAGCTAAAATTGACAAATGGGACATAATTACACTAAAGAGCTTCTGCACAGTGAAAGAAACTATCTTCAGAGTGCACAGGTAACCTACAGAATGGGAGAAAATTTTTGCAATCTATTCATCTGACAAAGGTCTAATATCCAGAATTTACAAGGAACTTAAATAAATTTACAAGAAAAAAACCCATCCCCATCAAAAAGTGGGCAAAGACATGAACAGACACTTCTCAAAAGAAGACATTTATGCGGCCAACAAACATGTGAGAAAAAGCTCAACATCACTGATCATTAGAGACATGCAAATCAAAACCTCAGTGAGATACCATTTATGCCAGTCAGAATGGCGATTATTAAAAAGTCAAGAAACGCAGATGTTGGGGAGGCTGTGGAGAAACAGGAATGTTTTTACACTGTTGGTGGGAATGTAAATTAGTTCAACCATGGTGGAAGACAGCGTGGCAATTCCTCAAGGGTCCAGAACCAGAAATACCATTTGACCCAGGAATCCCATTACTGGGTATATACCCAAAGGAATAGAAATCATTCTTTTATAAAGACACATACACACGTATGTTTATTGCAGCACTATTCACAATAGCAAAGACATGGAACCAATCCAAATGACCATCAGTGATAGACTGGATAAAGAAAATGTGGTACATATACAGCATGGAATACTATGCAACCGTAAAAAGAAATGAGATCATGTCCTTTGCAGAGACATGGATAGAACTGGAAACCATCGTCCTCAGCAAAATAACACAGGAACAGAAAACCAAACACTGCATGTTCTCACTCATAAGTGGGAGCTAAACAATGAAAGCACATGGATACAGGGAGGGGAACAACACACACCAGGGCATGTTGTGGGGGTGAGGGGAGGGAGAGCATCAGGACAAATAGCTAATGCATGTGGGGCTTAATACCTAGGTGACGGATTGATAGGTGCAGCAAACCACCTTGGCACACATTTACCTATGTAACAAGCCTGCACATTCTGCACATGTATCCTAGAGCTTAAAATAAAATAAAATAAACCCAAGGAGGTAAAGACAAGAGGGAGAGAGGGGAAACAGAAACAAGGAAGGACAGTGCCAGAAGAGGAAGTCAGGCAGAAGAGGGAAGGAAGGGAGAGGAGGAGTGCACAGGAGAGCTGGACAGAGGAAGGCCTGGCGGGGCCACTCTGGTTCTCCGGCTCTTCTTTGCCTGGCCAACGCCCAGAGAACCCTGCTCCCCTGGGAGCCGGGACCACATCTGCCCTTCTGTGTGTCAGCCAGGGGCATCTGGCGTCCGGCAAGTGGCAGCTCCCTCATCATCCTGTCTGATCCAAATCCAACCCACATTCAGCCAGGTGACCATGGTGGCTCCCCCCCAGGGTGGAGGTCTGTCCTGAGGCTGTCTGCACTTCCCAGTGGAGCTGGCTTCGAACCCACTGCTCTTGCCTCTCTGTCCATTCCCTAGAAGGCTGGCCTGCTCTTGCCTCTCTGTCCATTCCCTAGAAGGCTGGCCTGCTCTTGCCTCTCTGTCCATTCCCTAGCAGGCTGGCCTGCTCTTGCCTCTCTGTCCATTCCCTAGAAGGCTGGCTGCCCCTGGGGATGTTTTGCACCAAGCCACTGTCTCCAGCTGGGGACTAGCATCAGGAGAGCTCCTTTCTGTCTCCTAGGTCTGGAATGAAATGACGAGAGTGACCTTGGTCAAGTTTGACTGCTCTGTATCCAGCCATCCTCATGTATAAAGAGGAGGAAAGGAGAGGCACTTCTGTTACTACCGACCAGTTACCAGGTGTGACATTGTGCAGGTCACTGCACACACTTAAAGCAACCAGATGTATATCCATAGTCATCGGTGTTTTATAGAACATAGGAATAGACTCACAGTCCATTCCCCTCCTGCAAGACTACATATTCTATCGTAAAGGATGTGTCAAGGAAGAGCGTGTTGGAGTTCTGACTCTGGAGGTCCGCCAGCCAGAAAATGGCCTCCAGCCTCCCAGTCTCTTCCTGCTCATCAGCATAACCATCCTCCATCCATGAATCCCCACGGCTCACTCATTTTCTCTGCTAGTACTTAGTGAGCACTTCCTATGACCTGGGGATACAGCAGTAAATAAAACAGGCAAACACATTGGAGAGAAAGAAAGCCTGGGAGGCTGAGGTAGGTGGATCGTTTGAGTCCAGGAGTTCAAGACCAGTCTGGGTAACATGGTGAAACCCTGTATCTACAAAAAAAAAAAAAAAAAAGACAATATGGTGTGTGCCTGTAGTCCCAGCTACCTCAGAGGCTGAGACAGAAGAACCTCTTGACCTGGGGAGGCAGAGGTTGCAGTGAGCCGAGATCATGTCACCGCACTCCAGGCTGGGTGACAGAGAGAGAACCTGTGTCAAAAAAAAAAAAGAAGAAGGAAGAAGAAAGGAAATATGGCATGTTGGGGATGGGGATGGAAGTGGGTTGCAATTGTTAAAAGGGTAGCCAGGGAAATCCTTACCGAGATTTTTAAGTACAAGTCTGAAGGAGGCAAGGGAGTGAGTCAAACATATACATGCAGGAAGGGCTCTCTAGGAGGCGAAAGCAGTGAGAGCAAAGGCTGGGAGCCAATGCAGGCCTGGTGGCTTCGAAGAACAGCAGAGGGCCAGCGTGGCTACGGCAGAGGGAGTCAGGGCAGTGTGCTAGGAAGTGAAGGCAGGGAGATGCAGGAGGTGTGGATTGTTGGGGCGTCACAGGCCGTGTGACTCCCAATTGCTGTGTGACAAATTCCCACAAATCCAGCAGCTGCAAATACGACCCAATGTTCCCCAGCTTCTGCAGGTCAGGAGTTGGCACAGCCTAACTGGTCCTCTGTAAGGTGCCATCAGGGTGTCAGCCAGCACTGGGTTCTCATCTGGGGCTCAGCTGTGTGGATGGCTCTGCTTCCAAGCTCACATGGCAGCATTCAGTTCCATGCAGGGTGCTGGACACAAGACCTCAGCTTCCTGGTGAGCATCGACTGGAGGGGGCTCTTAGTTCCTCGCAGCTGATCCCCTCCATGAGGCAGCTTGCAACATGGCAGCCTGCTTCTTCAAAGGCGTCAATAGAGATTCCCCAGAAAGACAGGTTATGATCTTAACATTTTATTTATTTTTTGAGACAGAGTCTCACTCTGTCACTGAGGCTGAAGTGCAGTGGCACGATCTTGGCTCACTGCCACCTCCACCTCCTGAGTTCAAGCAATTCTCCTGCTTCAGCCTCTTGAGTAGCTGTGATTACAGGCGTGCACCACTATGCCTGGCTAATTTTTGTATTTTTAGTAGAGGCGGGGTTTTGCCATGTTGGCCAGCCTGGTCTCGAACTCCTGACCTCAGGTGATCCACCCACCTCAGCCTCCCAAAGTGTTGGGATTACAGGCACGAGCCACTGCATCCAGCCAGTGATCTTATACAATATGGTTAGTACATGAATCACATATATACCGCCTCCTTCATAAGCAAGCCACAGGTTCTGCTTACAACCAGAGAAGGGGATTATTCAAGGGTGTGAATGGCAGAGGTGGGGGTTGTGGGGGGTCACCTTAGTATCTGCCACCACAGCCTGTCCTCTGTCCCCAAGACTCATGTCCCTTGTGCATGCAAAACACATTCACCCCTCTTGAGATCCCTTCATGCTCACAGTCCCGAATCTCATCTAAATCGGGTTTAGGTGTAGAACAGATTTCTTTGGATGTTCCTCTGATCTGGAAAACTAAAGATACAAGCTATCTGCCCCCTACATATGCAACACACAATGGTGGGTGAAGCTGGAGACATCGCTGTTCAGAAAGAGGCAGCAGAGGAGGGATGAAGGAATGGTGGTTCTGAAATCCAGCTGGACAGACGCTGGTGTTCCCTAAACAGGTTTTAAGATGTGGGAAGATTCCATGTCTCTTGGCTCTGCCTTCTGGGCTTCTGCCTCTGGGTCATCCTTCTTTTCTCACGAAAGATCCACGTGTTTGCAGCCAAGTAGTTTTATCAGCCTTCTTCTTGACAGCAGAGTTTGGGGGCTCTGACAGTCTTCTTTCATTTTGCACTCTGTCCCCTACAGACCAATCTGCCAGCACTGTGGGTGAAACAGCTTTCCCAAACCCTTTGCCTGTCCTCTGTGGGTTTCAGTGGGGCTCATAGTCGATTTGTCAAGAGCCATACCCATGAATCTTTTAGAGATAAACTCTACCTTTCTACCTTCAGCTCCTGCCAAGATGGCCCCCAGGGTAACTCACTGAAGCTTCCCAGGGGCCCTAAGGTTTGGTGGAGAGGTTCTGCATGGTACACCCTTATAATCTCTTGCAACAGACCTCTGTGTGACTCATTGCTACTCCCATCCTTTGATCTTTATGCATAATCACAAAAGACTGTACAGTTACACCCTATGCCACATGCTCAGAAGCCATTTGTTAATTTCAGCATCTTTTGCCATGTGGGGAGACTGACAATTTTCAAAATCATCAAGTCCTGATTCAATTTTAACAGTTTAAAAACCAGTCTGTTTCTCAATTTATCTCTCTTCTCTCACACTATATTATAAGCAGTAAGAAGAAACCAGGCAGCATCCTCAACATTTTACTTGGAAATCTCCTCAACTGCATACCCAATTTATCACTTACATGATGTGTTTTCCACATAACTGCAGGAGACCACTTTTCTAAGCTTTCTGCTCCTACCTAACAAGGATCCCTGTCCTCCAGCTTCTAGTGCGAAAATCCTCACTGCCTTTGAGCAGTGGCGAGTCCTCCAAGCCCAGATATCTAGCAACAGTCTGCTCACCTTAGAGTCTGTCTGTCACCACCTGGGCCATTTCTAAGGGACCAGAGCTTTCCTCTGAGATGAGGCTTTGAGCTGAGGAGCCACATGATCTGACATGGTTAAGGATGCCTCTGGCTTCCCTGTTGAGAATAGACTGAAGGGGCAAAAATGGAAGCAGAAGAGCAGTTAGGAGGCTCCTGTCAAACCCACGTGGAAGGCAGGCTCTGGGCTGTGTTACTGGACTAACACTAACACCGTCCCCTTGCGCTTCTGAGGGTCCCTGGAACTTCCCCAGGGGATGAGACTCCTGGCTAGCAGGACTCAGCCCCTCCCCTTCAACTTTACTCAGGACCTGGTCTCCCCTCCTTAAGGTCTCTGGAGCCCAACGCACACTTCAGCCCACTCTCACAGGCATTCTCTCTGTCCACAAAATATCACCGAAGAGTCTTCTGTGAGTGCAACATGGTGTGAACACTGGGAGTACAAGGAGAAATAAGACACAGTTGCTGTGCTGGAGAAGCTTGTGCCCAGTGGTGGTGATACTGCCTGAGGTGAGACCACTATGCCAGCACAGGAACAAAGACGGCAGGGGCACAGGGCAATTCAGGGGTGCAGATCTGGAGGCATCCAAGAGGCTCCTAAGCCTCAGTGTATAAACTGACAGGTCACAGCCTGCTCTAGGAAACACCTTCCTAAGGGTTGGAGTTATCTTTGTGCATCCCATCCCCACCCCACCAAGCCGCCCTTGGCCCTGCCCTCAGGAGCTTCTGCTTGGCCTTGCTAATTCCTCTCTTCTCCCTGAAGCTAGAGTGAGGTACCTCTTGGCAGCCTTTGTATCTAGAGAGAGCCGTCCAATAGAAACATAAGGTGAGCAACATGCTTAATTTTAACATTTCTAGTAGCTACATTAAACATTTTTAAGTGAAATTAACTTTAATAATACATTTACTTAACCCAATATATCCAAAAGATTATCATTTCAACATGCAATCCTATTTTAAAAATAACTAGTGAGGTACCTGACAAAAAAAATCCCTTTTCATACTAAGTCCAGAAGATCTTTGTGTATTTTATACTCATAGGACATCTGAGTTTGGATGTTACCTTTTTATTGGAAATATGGGATCTGTACTTAGATTTCACTGAATTTACATTGAAAAGGTAGGTTCACATACCCAAGTTGTCTCACACATACCTAAATGTTTTCTGGTAACTGGATGGAGTATCAGTTTTTATATTTATCTTTGCATTAGCTAAAAAACAAATTAATAGTTCAGGTCCTCAGCCGCACGCAGGCAGTTTTCTCCACCGTCCAAATGGTTGCCCGAATTCACCCAGACCCCGCCGTCCTCTGCTTTTTCATGCAGACATTCAAACAACTGCCTCCCTTCCTCCTGGCACCCCCATCCCATCGCCAGCAGCCTCCGAACCAGTTTCCCTCCTGTCCCCATCTCAGCCACCCATGACTCACACACACATCTGTCTCCCCTGGCCCACTTTTCATCTAGTCCTCATAATCTATGCATAAACATTAACATACCACAGAGTCAATCTGCATACTGATTACTTCTGCTCTGGTCAAATTCTTGCTTTCAGGATCAGGAGGCTTTCTCCCCACACCAAACTGGGCCTGAGGAAATAGTGTCTTGTCTTCCTGTCACCCCTCCCGTAGTTGCATGTCTAATGAGACAAGGGGTGTCTCAGGTGAAGCAGGACAGGGAGGATGCCAGCACTTGGGTGGTAGAGGTTTGAGGAGTGCCTGTTGGGGGATGTGTTGGGGAAGGAGGACTTTTCACATATGGCTCATTGTGTCGGGATGATTTCGTTGTTAAATAAGCACCTACAGGATGATTTCACATTCCATACTTCTAAGTTTTTATAATTTAAATTCTTTCCGCCAGGCTGGGTTTTTTTTTTTTTTTCCAAACTTTAAATCTGTGGCTAGAATTGGTTTGATTTACATAATCCTGCCCCTGAGATTTAGCCCCACCCCTGAGAGCCCCCTCAGAGCCACCCACAGCCAGGACACCTCTGCTGGCCTCCCCTTCCCCAGCCTTCCAACTTGTGGCAGGCCCCTGGCTCTGGCCTCCCCCTATATGGGAATGAGCCAGCTGCACCGCTGCTGACAGTGGCTGGGATAATCCTCCCTGAGCTGTTCCAAGGATTAGTCCTGCTGCCCTGTGCCCAGCTCCCACACAACGGGGTTTCGGGGCTGTGGACCCTGTGCCAGGAAAGGAAGGGCGCAGCTCCTGCAATGCGGAGCAGCCAGGGCAGTGGGCACCAGGCTTTAGCCTCCCTTTCTCACCCTACAGAGGGCAGGCCCTTCAGCTCCATTCTCCTCCAAGGCTGCAGAGGGGGCAGGAATTGGGGGTGACAGGAGAGCTGTAAGGTCTCCAGTGGGTCATTCTGGGCCCAGAGATGGGTGCTGAAGCTCCCACACCTGCCTGTGAAAATGGATTCCTCTCTCACCTGGGAGAGCCAGGTGCTGCCCCGAGAAGGATGCATTTATGGCTTCATGAAGTCTTTCCTGACCCCCGATGCTGCTGACTATAGGTAAGTCTGAGCAAATCTGGGGGAGCCTCATCTTGGCATGAGAAAGAGATGGCTTCTTCTAAGCCCACTGGCTGTGATCCCAGGATTATAACACATTCTGGCTCAAGTCCAGACTATTTGTAGAACACAGGAGATCCTCCATGAGAGGTAGTATAATATAGAAGATATGTGTGCTTACTAAGAGGCTGCCTGTCTGACCTTGGACAAGTTCTTTTTATTTATTTATTTATTTTTTATAGAGACAAAGTCTCACTATGTTGCTCAGGCTGGTCTTGAACTCCTGGCCTCAAGCGATCCTCCCACCTTAGCCTCCCAAAGTGTTGGGATTATAGACATGAGCCACTGCACCTGGCCAACCTTGGGCAAGTTCTTAAACCCTTCAAAGCCTCATTTTTCTCCAATCATAAAAGGGAAAGATGGTAATATTTTCCCCGCCAAATTCTTGTAAGTATTAAACATTGTATATGTATTTTGAACACGATTAAGCTCTAAACACTTGTTAGGAAGCAGGAGTAGCATTTGAAACAAACAGCTCTTTTCCCACAGGTCGGATGCCCTCACAGAATTGAGATTATGTACGTAAAACACCAGGTGCCTAACCCGGCACAGAGCAGGAGGGCTAAGCGTGACATCCAGCATGTGGTCAGTGGAATCCAGTATTCCTACCCACCTCTCTAGTCTCCCCTCCACCCCTCTCCCTTTCAGAGGCACCAAGCTGCTTGTGGTCTTGTCTATTCCCACTCCCTGCCCGACTGAACATTTTCTCTACCTCCTGATCATCAGCAGCAGAAACTGGCTGCTCTTCCTCCTGGGTAGACAGCCAGACTGTATTTCCCAGCTGCCCCTGCAGTGAGATGTGGCCATCGGAGCCAGCATTGGCCAATGGACTCTGCATGGGAGTGACGCATGCTGCCTCCAGGCTTGTCTCTAAAACCTCCCACGTGTCCTCCGCCTGCTCTTCCCACCTCCAAGGAGCACGGCAATTGTGGAAGACCCAGATTAGTGATGGCAGAACCATAGATGGGAGGAACCTGGGTCCCTGACTTAAAGTATCATGGATTTGGATGTTCCCTTAGTGAGAAATAAACTTCCATTGTGTTTAAGCCTTTATTTGTTTATAGTTGGTTACAGCAACTGCCTTCTTTTAATTAAAACACTCCTGCTGCTTCAAGTTGCTGGAATGCTTGTAACCCTGCCCTGCTTCACCAGGGTAACTCCTACTTGGCCTTTAAGTTTATCTCTGCTGTCACACCGTCCAGAAAGCCTTCTCCCAGCACCACAACCCCTCCACCAAGGGTTAGGTGTCTCCAGCAGATGCTGCACAGCTGGCTGCCCTTTGCCCACCCTCCCCTTCTTTCTCATAGAATCCTAGGACTCCTCTGTATCTAGAAGAAGTTGTGTGGTCCAGTGCTGGCCAAGAAGATGTGAGAGCAAGTCGCTGGGTGGAGATTCTTAGGAAAACTTCTTAAAAAGAACGAGACTGGGCTCCTTTCTGCCTTTTACCATTTTTGTGTATGCTTGCCTTCTTCCCACCTGGGACTCTGATGCAGCACCTGTGAATGGGCACACATATTACAACTCTTAGGCTGAAACCCACGTTCTCAGGCAGAGGTCTCTTGTGGGCATTTAGTGCTATAAATGTCTCTTTACACACTGCTTTAAATGCGTCCCAGGTCTTAGGGTATATACCCAAAGGATTATAAATCGTGCTACTATAAAGACACATGCACATGTATGTTTATTGTGGCAGTATTCACAATAGCAAAGACTTTGAACCAACCCAAATGTCCATCAATGACAGACTGGATTAAGAGAATGTGGCACATATATACCATGGGATACCATGCAGCCATTAAAAAGGATGAGTTCATGTCCTTTGCAGGGACATGGATGAAGCTGGAAACCATCATTCTGAGCAAACTATCACAAAGACAGAAAACCAAACACTGCATGTTCTCACTCACAGGTGGGAATTGAACAATGAGAACGCTTGGACATGGGGCAGAGAACATCATACACTGGGGCCTGTCAGTGGGTGGGGGGCTGGGGGAGGGATAGCATTAGAAGAAATACCTAATGTAAATGACAAGTTGATGGGTGCAGCAAACCAACATGGCACACTCATATCTATGTATCCAACCTGCACATTATGCACATGTACCCTAGAACTTAAGTATATAAAAAAAAAAGAAAAAAAACTTTCACCTTTTTCCAAAGTGTTGGGATTATGGGTGTGAGCAACCACGTCTGGTCCTTTTTTTTTTTTTAATGGAGGTGAAATTCACATAAGTTTGACCATTTTAAAGTGAACAATCAGTGGCATTCAGTACATTCACCATGTTGTGCCAACACTATCTCTATGTAGTTCCAAAACATTTTCATCAGCTCAAAATGAAACCTTGTACCCATGAAGCAGCCACTTCCCATTCTCCCCTCCCCTTAGCCCCTGGAAATCGGCTTTCTTTCTCCACGGATTTACATATTCTGTATATTTCCTATAAATGGAATTACACAATAGGTGACCTGTGTCTGGCTTCTTCCACTTAACCTAATGCTTTTGAGGTTCAGTCACATGGTGCCATGGATCAGCTCTGCCTTCCTTTTTATGACTAATACTCCACTGTATGTCCATATCACCATTTGTGTATTCACTCATTAATCTATGGACACAAGCCTCATTTTTAAGCACTTCAAATATGTTAACTCACTGAATCCTCACCACAAAGACAGATGCAGTTATTACATATTGATAGAGTGAAAACTGAGGCACAGGTAACATGCCTAGGATCACGTGGCTATGAAGCAGAAAGAGGACTCCAGCCGAGGCAGTCTAGTCCCAAAGTCCTTCCCTTCCTAGTAACCACTATGCTCTCCTGCCTCTCAGAGAACAACCCACATAGCACAACACGAGGGCCAAGCTGTCTGGTCTGTCTGGTGAAGCTTCAAATGCTGTTCATTTCAGATAAGGGGAGGTTCCTGGGCTGCAGAGGCTTCCTAGAGGAGGAAGACCATGTAAGGTCTAACTCAGGGCAGGTCAGGATGGTGTGAACTCACTCTGAACACAGTCACCGATGGGTGTTTATGAAAACTGGCTCTGGAACTCCCACAGGGAAGGTTCTTATCTTTGCGTGCACAACACAGAGCCCTCTGGGTAGACTTCTAGACCCAGGCCTCTTTCAAATACATTAGAAACCTCAGCAAGATAAACTATTTTCTGTCTGGCTGCATCTGTCTATCTGTTTAGAGAGCAGGACATTTCCATCCTCCTCTCTCCAGGCATCCTTGGAAGTCTTTCCCACAAGCAAGACATCTTGGTGAAATTTAATGCTGCGGAGGGAAGTGGTTTTCAGGAGAGAGGAGTCTGTTCCCGGAACTGTAGCACAAAAGCTAGAGGCTGAGTAGGAACATCTTAAACTAAGTCCTCAGTCTTATTTCCAGTTTTCTTCCTGTAGATCGGGGCTTAGGACACCCTGTCACATTTTCTTCACTCCTCCACCAGGAATTCCTAAAGTCCATGCTCTTGGATCCTGGCAAATCCAGGAGGCTGGGGGATGTGGCAAGCTTCAGCAAGACTGCCTGGGACCAACCCTGCAGCCTTAATTTCCCAGGCCCACTCAGCCCAGCTGGCCAGCAAAGGCAGGCAGGGCTTCCGTGTCCACACATGAGAATGACCTGCAGCTGTTCTTTGTCCAGGCTGAGGTCCAGGATTCCCATTGCAGCTCCTAGGAAATCTTTAAAATAAGGTCGGGGATGCGCCTGTCAGTAGATTAGGTAGGGAACTTTTATGAAGTTGAGGGTGAACCATCTGGAGGGTGAACTGGCTGGTGTGATTCTAGAACTGGGGGTGGTGCCTAGCAGTGCATTTGTGAGAAGACACAGCCAGGCTTGGTATATGATGTGGTGTGTGTGTATATTCACAGGCATCGTGGAGCATATACACTTTTTTTGTGTGTGTTGAAATAAACCTTACAGATTACCAAGTACTTTTTTTTTTTTTCTGAGACAGGGTCTCTCTCTGTCGCCCAGCCTGGAGTGCAGTGGTACAATCATAGCTCACTGCAGCCTCGATCTCCCAAGCTCAAGTGATCCTCCCACCTCAGCCTCCCATGTAGCTGGGACTACAGGTGTGTGACACCATGACTGGCTATTTTATTTTATTTTTGTAGAGATGGAATCTCACAATATTGCCCAGGCTGATCTCAAACTCTTGGGCTCAAGCAGTCCTCTCGCGTCAGCCTACCAAAGTGCTGGGATTACAGGCATGAGCCACCACGCCCAGCCAGATTACAAAATACTTTGACATCTTTTCTCTACAGCCCTCAAAAGGAGGCAGGGCAAGCACAATTAAATCCCATTACAAATGGGGTGACTGAAGCTCCATTCATGGCTTGCCCAGGGTCACACAAAGAATGAATAGCAGAGCCCTGAGCCTGTGTGCTTCCCTCTGTGCCAGGCTGCTTTACCCAGGCATGGGTGCACCTTGTGCATGGGACATTTCTCCTTTGTTGTGTCCTGAGTACCTTAAGCCACTCAGATATTGCTCAGGTGGAGTGAGGGGAAAATGTTTTCAGGTTGTATTAGTCAAAACAAAATACCACACACTGGGCGACTTTAAAATCATACATTTATCCCTCACAGTTCTGGAGGCTTGGAAGTCCAAGTTCAAGGTGGCAGCTGGACGGGTTCCCGGTGAGGGCTCTCTTCCTGGTTTGCAGACAGCCACCTTCTCTTCGCATCCTCACTTGGTGGGAAAAGACAGAGGAGAGAAAGAGAGAGAGAGAAAAATGAGATAGAGAGAGAGAGAGAAATGAGATAGAGAGAAATGAGAGAGAGAGAGAGAGAGAGAGAGAGAGAGGGAGACACAGAGACAATGCTCTCTTTTCTTACCAGATCTATAATGAGGGCCCCACCCCATGACCTCATCTAACCGTAATTACCTACCAAAGGCCCATCTCCACATACCATCACATTAGGGGTTAGGGTTTCAACATAAGCATTTGGAGAGGACATAAACATTCTGTCTACAACATGAGTGGAGATCCATCTCTTCTTTACCTCTGGTAAGGGGACCACCCGCTGCAGCCAGCGAGACAGTGGCATGTTCTTGTTACAACTCGATCTAACTCCCCCAGAAGAGGAGGCAGGGAAGGCGGACAAAACTGGGAGAGGGAGAGAGTGTTAGGAAGAGAGTAGGGTGGCCAGAGGCAGCAAATAAAATATAAAATGCTTAATTCTGAATCTCAGATAAACAACCAATAATGTTTTTTAGCATAAGTATGTCCCAAACTAAGCTTGGGACATATTTACGCTACGAAATTATTCGTTGTTTATCTAAAATTCAAACTAGCTGGGCATCCTGTCTTTTAATCTGGCAACCCTAAAAGGCAAGGGCCAAAAATGCCGGAGGCAAGCCAACGGATTCCAGGAGGGACAACTGCTGGACTTGACTGATGATGCTCTTTTTATATATTTAACTTTTTAAAAAAGCCTCTTTTCTTTCTTTTTACCAGCTTTTCACTAGCTTTTTAAAAACTGTGGTAAAACATACATAACCTAAAATTCACCGTCTAAACCATTTTTCAGCATACAGTTCAGTGGGATTAAGTAGATTCACACCGTTGTGCCGCCATCACTACCACTCATTTCCAGCACCCTTCCATCACCCCAGCCTGAAACTCTACCCATTGAACACGAGCTGCCCAACTCCGCCTTGCTTCCCCATTCCTGGCGACCACTGCTTCTGTCTCTGTGAATTTTGACTATTCTAGGCACTTCACAAAACTGGACTCATACGATATCTGTAGTTTTGCGTCTGGCTTCTCTATTTAATTCTTAAAGGGGGGTGGGAACTAAGCAGATCACAAGGGAGCTGCCCACAGAGGTAAAGACAAGGTCAGGTAGGCTGAGAGACGCAGGAAAGCGGGTCAAGGCGTAGGGCTGGAGGGCAGGGGCGGGCCCTGGGCCTGGGCTGGGGGTCCTGCCCCGGGGCGCACCCCGGGCAAGGGCTGCCCGGAGGAGCCGAGGCTGGCGGACAGCTTGGCCCTGAGCTTGAGGGGAAGGCAGCGATGGGACAAAGGACGGAGGTCTGGGAAGAGGGTCTGCAGAGCAGAAAGCACGGGTAGGGGCGGCCTGACGCTCGGAAGACAACGCATGGGAGCCGTGTGCACGTCGGGAGCTCGGAGTGAGCGTGAGTTCCGTGCCCAGGCCCGCGACTCGGCCCGACAGGACAGCGCTCCGGGTCGACGGGGTCCTGGAGCCGCGCTCGGGGAGGGCGCAGCGGAGGGCGAGCGGCGGCGTTAGGACCCGGAGGCGCGGGCGGACTGTGGGCGGCGGGGCTAGGACCCAGCGGCTCCGGCAGAGCGGAAGCGGCGGCGGGAGCTTCCGGGAGGGCGGCTCGCAGGTGAGGAGGCGTCCGGGGCCGCGGGAAGTAGGGTCGTGGGGGCCTGGCGGGGCGAAGTAGGGGACCCGGAGGGGCTGGAGGGAGGCGGGCGGGAGGCCCGGGACCGTTCCTGACCGAGAAGCCTGCGCCAAGCTGGTGTTCCGCGGCCGCTGCCCGGTGCCCGGCTCCACTGCGAACGCCGCCGCTGGGCCCCGACCGCCCGGGAGGCGTCTTGGGCTCGCCCCGGAGCTTCCTCCCTGGAGCCGCGCCCTGCACCCGGCCTTGCCCGGCCCTAGCAGGGAAGCCAAGGCTTGTGGGGCGCAGGGACCCGGGCTCTGCGGGGTCCCGGTTCCGCCTCCCCACTTCTGCGTCTTCCCGCCCCGGCCGGGTTCTGGGAAGCCTCGCGCGGCTCTTCCGCAGCTGCTGCCCGCCCGGAGCTCCTGGTCCCTCGTAGGGGACCCCACTTCTCTGACACCGCGTTGGGTTCCCGGGGCCTACAGCGAGGCCTGTAACTCCGGGAGAGACCCTGGAGCGGGGTGTGGGAGAACGGTCTGGAGGAAGGGCTCCGAGCACTTCGAAAGTATAAACCGCGGTCCCAAAGAGGCGTGCTGTGTCTGCATTTTCCTGGGAGTGCACGGTTTACATTCTGTAAAGCAGTGCTGTCGACTAGAAATATTGTGCGATACACATGTACAAGTTTTGTCACTTAAAAAGAATTTGAAAAAACTTCATAGATGCAAAAAAAAAAAACCCACCATTATTAAATAATACTTAGGTATTTGTGGAATGCATTGAAGAGTTAACAAAATGGATAGGCAGGAAATATCGCAGACCTAGAATGAATTACAGTTACCCACTGTGGAACTGAGGAGCTAGGGTTTCTCATAAAACTCCCTGATAGAAGACGACTTTTGATAAAATTTTTTTTCCGCCAACAAAATCCCCTGTCTTCTCAACTAGTTACTGTCTGTCCACTAAATAAGAGGTGGTCCGTCACTTCTTCAGATGAGCAACTACAGGCTTTTCAAAAGATAATTGCTAATCAACCCCTTTGTGCCTGGGTTTTCTTATTTGTAAAAATAGATACTACTACCTAACTCCAAAGTGTGTGGTGAAGACAAACAATTGGGGTGATGTATACTAAAGTAACGAAAGTGTTGACCACACACTACGGGCTGGTTAGTGTTAGATTCCCTTGTTTTTCCCTCAGTATCAAAAACAGATCTAATTTAGGTTTACATAAAGACAAAGTATGAAGATAAGGTGACTTACAGTTGGTACTACTAACAAAATGTTTGGGCTAAGATTTGCATTATTGCATGAAAACAACAAAACATATCAATAACAAAAAGCTTGGAATTCAGACGACAGATCCAAGTCTGGGCTTGATCTCAAGCTAGTGTTTTGATGTTGAAAAAATGTTATTTGGTCTTTCTAACCCCATTTCCTTATGTAAAATAGGGGATGATGATAAATTCACTGATAATAAGAGTTAAATGAGATTCTTGAGGAGTCAGAATGGTTCTAACATGTGTAGGTATTATTAGCAGTCATACTGTAGCATAAGAAAATACCGTCTGCTGAAAGAGGGACAATAAAGATTATCTACATGGTCATCATTTAAAAGCTACCAGATATAGGAAGAAGGGGCCATAAAATGATAACGTTATGATGATTAATTTTGATGCTTAGGTCAGAGTCCATTCTAGGATATCTGCTGCCCAAAAACAGCAGAGACTCATTTCTTTGGAATCACAGGACGCTGAGTGAGAGGAAAGAAAAAGAAAAGAAATATTTAAGTCACATATGTGATTTCTAAAAGTAAAAAGAAACAGATGAAATTAGTGATATATTTTTAAAATCCAGTATATCCCAAATATGGTTATTTTAGCATGTAATCAATATAAAATAATAAGATATTTTACATTCTTTTTTTCTAGTCTTTGAAATTTGGTGCATATTTTACACTTATGGCACATCTCAATTCAGACTATCCACATTTCAAGTGCTCAGTGGCTGCATGTGCCTGGTGGCTACCATATTGGACAGCACAGGTCTAAGGATTTCATTCCTGCCACAAGTCCAAACTCCTAGCTTTAATTTTGAGTGTTTTTAACAAACTGGCCTCTGTTTATCATTCTTTCTTCTAGTACTTCCCCAAGGATGATTGTACCCTCAGCACTCAAGACCGCTTGCGGTTCCCCTACACACTTTTTGTTCAAGCTGTTTCTTTTACCTGGAATGCTGTCTTTGCACCTTCTTCCTGGACCTGGTTCACCCTTGTTGCCTAGGCTGGAGTGCCATGGCGCGATCTTGGCACACTGCAACCTCCACCTCCCTGGTTCAAGTGATTCTCCTTCCTCAGCCTCCCGAGTAGCGGGGATTACAGGCATGCACCACCACGCCTGGCTAATTTTGTATTTTTAGTAGAGATGGAGTTTCACCATGTTGGTCAGACTGGTCTCGAACTCCCGACCTCAGGTGATCTGCCTGCCTTCGCCTCCCAAAGTGCTGGGATTACAGGCGTGAGCCGCTGCGCCCGGCCGAGAGGCACACATTCTGCTAAGAGCTTTTTCCTGACTCCCCTAACTCCAAGAGGGATTTGTCACTCCTTAGCTTTGTACTCATGACTGGAGTAGAATGAATTTAATTTGAGTTTAGTTGTTTTTGAGACTCTCCCTGGCTAGTGTAGTGTCTTATTCGTCTTTGTTGTGATCATGGTCTGCACCTAACAGATGATCAGTAGATGTTTGCAGACAGAAAGTAAACCACTCATCAGGTGTATTCAGTCCCATTCTTGAACGGGCTTGCTGTCTCCTTTTTGAGGAGATCTGTGTATGTACTCTTCTTTCACGCATATGTGTGAGCAAACACACACACACTAACAAGAAATTCATCTGAAGATGTGCACAGGAAATATCTTGCATCTTTACCCCCTTTGTGATCTTACATATGGGAGAACTGAGGCACAGAAATAAGTTAGGACAGCCAGCAAACTTGCATCAGTATAAATACAAAGAAGGGGAGGGAGGAACATGCTTGAAAGGGGTGTGCTGGTCTCAGAGGGTTAGGTTTCTCAGTTGGCTGGGCATCAGCTGGCCATGCTTTAGTTATTTGATGGGAGGAAAAATAAGTGCGAGGTGAGGAGTAACTCCTGGGCTCTGATGAGTATTCTAGGCAAGTACAGATCTGGAAAGCCTGTATGCAAAGGAGGAACTCACTGAAAAGTGCTGGCCTGAGGAGGGCAGAAGGGAGGGCTGGGGAAGCCAGCAGGGGGAGCAAAGGAGTAGGCTTCAGCTGGGTGAATCCGGTGTGGTATGTTATGTAAAATATACAAATTATTATTGGGAATAACCACGTCTCAGCAGTGCTAGTTCTCAGTTTGGAGAATGGGAAATCGAAAGGATCAGATTCAGAGACGGCAACTTACTCAAGGTCACAGCATTTTAAACCCAAATGAAATCTCCTAGGCCCTTCATGCCACACTCATCCATCCCTACCTACTTGTGTTGCAACCAAGGGCCCCACTGTAGTGCCTAGGGGAGCAGGTCTAGGGCATAGTGCCAGGCCTGATTAATGTCTTCCTTACCATTTTCCAGCGAGGGGCTGTGATTAGGCCTATTTATAGGGGCCTGGTCCCTTAATATTCTGCCTGGTGCATCTCTTGCCAATCAAATCAGTGCTGTCTGCAGTGTGATTGCTGCTGTAGTGGCACCAGGGAGAGGAGTTAATTAAACCCAATATAAATAGACTCTCCCCTCACTGTGCAATTCCAGGAGTGTTTTTCCTTCCTGTCCTCCACCCCCACAGGCACCTCTTTCCTCTTGGCCCCCTAAGCTCTAGCCTGGGTGAGCAGGGCTGGATACTCCTATACCTAGAGTCACTAGCCACTGCCCAGTCTGTTTCAGGAGCAGACCTCAAATTCCTCAGGGGTTAAAGTGGGAAGAACCCGTGTGTGCACATTTTTTGTGCTTTTCCAGAACTGTGTACCATTTGGCAGTTGATCAGGCAATCTCCCCCGCTACCCCATTTCTACCCCTTTGTTTCCAGCCTCTTTTTTCCTCTGCAACCAAGGTTTCTTGTTTATCCAAGGTGGGGAGCTGAACTGAGACAAGGTATGGAAAGGGTGCCTGGCAGGTAGCAAGCACCTTGTAGGGGGTCAGAAATGTTGCACCTTCTCTGAACTCCTCCATTGACCCTAGAGATTCCCCAGTCCCTGGCCCTGCCCTTTCCCTCATTCACTCAGCAGGCATCAGCAGAGTCCCATCTATGCGCTCCTGGCCTCTCAGCAAATGCTCTGTCCCCTACTCCCCTATCTGTGCAGGCTGAAGCTATGTGCATAGTTGGGATGAGGGCTGTGTTGTCTCAACACCACGCTGCCCTGTGGTGGGGGCGTGCCGGTGGTCGTGGGTGGCTCTGATGCTCCGGCTCCGACCCACAGGCACCATGACTCCTGTGAGGATGCAGCACTCCCTGGCAGGTCAGACCTATGCCGTGCCCCTCATCCAGCCAGACCTGCGGCGAGAGGAGGCCGTCCAGCAGATGGCGGATGCCCTGCAGTACCTGCAGAAGGTCTCTGGAGACATCTTCAGCAGGTGGGTGCTGCCACTCACCCCCACCTGATGAGAGGGCCATCCCTGTCCTGGGCAATCCCAGCAACACACCCTCTGGGAGCAGCCCCCTTGGGGAATCCTGGTCCTGGGGAACCCATCTGGTTTCCCTGTGTGGGAGGGGCTGAAGTGAGAGCCCAACTTGGAAGCTTTTACTCCTGGGAGTCCGAGAGCTCACTCCCTTCCACCCCACTTAGCCTCCTGGTTTCCTGTGGTGGCTCTGCTCTCACAACTCATGCTTTTCCTCCCATTGGAGGGCCTATTCCTTCACGTTTTCCTGCAGCCAACAAATATTTACCCAGCAGTGCTCGTGTGCAAGGCAGTGTGGGAATCTCTATATATCCAGCCATGGATAAGGCAACATACCTCTCCACCTGGAGCGCACATTCTGGCAGGAGAGAAAGACCTAAATAAGCAATAGATGATTAGTTCTTCAATAACAGTTGTGACAAGGTCTATTGATAATATTTTGTAATCACTAATATTCATATAAACCGTGCACCACCATTGATTTGAGTGCATTAACTCACACTTCATGAGCAGGCACTGCCGTCATCTCATTTTACAGATGAGGAAACTGAGGCACAGAAAGGCTGAGAGACCTGGCCTAGTGACAGAGCCAGGATTCAAAGCCATAGATCATGGCCCCGGGTTACGTAGGTTATTACTGCATCTGTTCAGGGGAGATGGGGTACTGTGAGGCTCGTCATGGGAAGCCTGGCTTGGTCTCAGGTCAGGGAAGGCAGATGTGAGGAAATGACATTTATGGTAAAGTCTGAGGGTTGAGTGGGTGGGTTGGGAAGAACATTCCAGAAAGAAGCACATGAACTACAGCCTGGAGGTGGAGGACCTAAAAGGAAGCCAGCATGGCTGGAGCACGGAGTGGCCATTGAGGGAGGCGAGCTGGAGGGGTGCAGCTTCTTGTATTGGCAGCGCTGACCTCGCACAGTCCTTGGGCTCCAGTGACTTCACTCAGTGTTTATCTTACATGAGTGAGTGAATGGTGTTTGCTGTTTTTTTGGCAAAGGTCCCAGGGGTTGTCGGGTACACAGGTCCTGTCTTTGGCCATAAGCAAACTGAAATGAGGCTTGGTCTCCTTCCCAGGATCCCACACCATGCCTCACATGGTAGACCCCAGCGGGAAGTATGTGACTGCCTGACTCAGGTGCCTCTCGTGGTCCAAGCCATCCCTGCCCTGTCCCTTCCCTGGTTGTCGCCAGACCTGGAGCCCCTGCTCCTTCACTTTGCAGCCTCCTCTTCTGTCACCAACTGGGAACCCACCTCTTCCTGAAAGTCCTCCCCCACTGACTCACCGGCTTGCCCCAAGCTTGTCAAGAATGTCCCAGTAACCAGGGGACACACACTGAAGTGACTGAGGGGTTACCTTGGAGTTGATGCCTTGGCTCAGATCCAGCTCCCCTGTTTTCTTCCTCTGTAACCTTGGGCAACCCAACCCCTCTAAGCCTCGGTGTTCTCATTTGTGAAGTTGTGGTAATAATGGTAGCTTCCTGGTAGAATTATTGTAAATATTAAATTAATCAAAACATGCAAAGGAATGGAACAGTGCCTGGCACCTAGGAAGCCTTCAGGAAATGCTGTCTCTTCCCTGTTGATAATCTTGACCCGTACACTGCCTTTGGTTGCCATTCATGAACCTGCCACCAATAGTAACAAAGTGCTGGATGCACCTTTTGTGCTTATCTTTGTGCTAAATGTGCCTGAGGGACGCCTAGGGAAGAGGATGCAGGTCTTTAAGAGCCATCAGCTCCAGATTATGGCCACCCCATGTCCAGCACTTAGAATGGAGGCCAAAACCATTCCCTCGGAAATTGTGTTTCCTTGCCAAGATGGGGACTGCGTGGTTGCCCTTCTCTGAGGGCAGCGCTGGATTTTTGGCATCTTTCCTTTCCTGTCCTGGTACTTGGCACCTTGTAGACAGTTGCATGTCCCCTGCCCAGGGATGGGATGAGGAGAGGGCAGGAAGGCATTTCCTGGGTAGTGGAGTGCTGCGTTCATTGAGTGTGGGTTCTCCAAGCTGCTGGCACAGCGCAGGGAGGGCCAGATGCCTCTCAGGAGCCTTGGGCCTGAGTCCTGGCTCCCTCACTCCTGGGTTCCAGGTCAATGCATCTGTCTCTCCACCATGTGCTCCACCTCGTGCTGGACCTTAAGAGATACCAATTATGTGGCTGACACTGTGTCCTAGAGGCTGGAATGGGAACACATAGGGCGAGATTGATTGTTAATTGCTAGCATGAACCGCGTGGGCTTCTCAGGGTCTAGAGTGGAGAGAAATCGGTAAGAATTGGTGGCACGCCTGTCAGAACTCCCCAAACCAAGCTAAGCAGAAATTAACCAATCAGTAGAGCAGCCTTCGGAGTAAGGGCTAAAATGATGTCCTCAGGGCCTGGTTTTGCTTTTCTTCCATGTCAGTTTGCTTCTTTGGGTCTGGCTGCATTCCCAGACAGGCCATGCTGTCGTGGTAGCAAGGTGACACGACACAGGGTCAGGTCCAGCAGGAAAGAATGCTCTCCTGTGTCCCCACTTCCTCCAGAAGCCACACTCACCCATCCCACCTGGCTTGGTCCTCATGTCTATCCCAGAATCCATTAATGGGGCCAGGGGACTATGACACAACCACTTGGCTTAGACTGAGGAGCTCTGTGGGCAGCCCCACCTGAAGCTCTGGGACTAAGCCTGCGAGAGAGATGGATTCCCCAAGGGAAATGGGGCCATTGCTTGAGTAAAAAGGAAATAGTTGCTGAAGAGTAAAACCACTTGCTTACTCCACATAGGGCAGACTCCTGGAAGAGGGGGGCAGGGTAGGGAGGTGGATATGCAGGTTGCCCTGGTGGGGTCTGGAAATGGGGGCTGCAGGCTTGGAGGGAGGCCTCAGTGTGGCTTGGAACGTGGTGTATGGTGGTCTGCCGCGAAGGCCGGCCTGCACAGGGGTGGGAGGGGGGAGCTTCTGCATGGGAAGCACAGACAGCGCTGCCTCTCCCTTGCACTCAGCTCTCGGGGCATGAGAGGCTGACTTTCCGTGAGCCTGTGGGCCAGGCCTCTTTGAATGGGGCTGAGGGAGCTTTGCCCTGGTTCCTTTGTGTCCCCACGGTGCCACGGGAGGCTCCCTGGCAGGGTGTGGGGCAAGGCAGTGAGTGAAGAGTTGGGATGAGTGAGTTAGGGCCCACGGATTACTCAAGACAGGACTTCACGTTGATTCAGGAGCGTTAGGGAGCTGTGATTGGATTTTGAGCAGGGCAGGGATGGGACAGAAGAGTTTGGGGAAGGTTCCTCAGGCATCCGTCACGGAAGGGATAAGAAGGGAGAGAGAGTGGATGCCGGGGACACCCAGAAGCTGTTATTGTAGTCAGGATGCGACAGGGGTGAGGCTACAGACAGGGGACTTGCAAGCAGGGAGGGCAGGGTGAGACATTCAGAGGAAACGACGACAGGAAATGGTGACAGATAGGGAACGAGGATGAAGGGAAGGGAGAGCCAGTGACGACTGGCAGTGGAGTGGGGAGCACCGCCACCTCTCCTCCTCCACTTGCCCCCTCCTGTGGCACTGGACAAGCGAGTGGGCTTTTCGTTGTCCGTGGGCTTTTTTGTTGGGGATGTGACCAGCTTTGAACCCTTCCCCTTAAACATGCTCCTCCTGCACGGAAGAGACAGGGGCAGGGGAGAGACTCTCTCCCCACCACCCCATCTCAGGCCCCAGCACAGCCCGGCCTCTGGCCTCACTGGCGTCTGTGCCCAGTGACGCAGGCAGGTGAGCTCCTGGCAAATTAGCATTCCAGGCCGTGCTCTCTCCTCCTGCTCTGCTGCAGCCGGGAGTGTGCAGAGACTGGAGGGGATGACAGTCACCTCCCAGGCTGTCTTCAGCTGTGCCCTCCAGCCCCTCCCTGTCCCCTCTTTCTGCCCCTCCAGCTGCTGCTCCCTCTTCACCTGGGAGAAGCCAGGCCCCCAAAATAACTTGCCAGATATGTCACCTGCTTCCCATGACGTAGATGACAAGGCAGAAGGGAGTTGGGATGGCACGGGGAAGAGGAAGGAACAGACTCTGTGTGTGGAAGTTTGGATGCTGTCATCTGCCATTGCCCGTCAGCCCCTGCCCAACCTCTTCCCCCAAGAGGCAGTGCCACTGCCCAGCACCTTCCCCCTGGGAAGGGTGATTTTCTCTGCGAAGCTCTTGGTCCTTTCCTCCATCTCTTTGTCCTTTTCCCCACCTCTTCCTTTCTTCTCCCCTTCCTCCTTTCCCCTTTCCCCTTGTCCTCGCTTCCTCCATCCTTCCTTCTCCCCTGTTCTCTCTACCGATTGGCACCTGGTGGCCCCGAAGGTTACACATTGCACTAGATCACTGCATAATTAGCAAGTCATTCTTAATTATCCCAGAGTGGAGAAGATAAAGGTGAAGGCAAGAGCCCAGGTTCAGCGTCTGCTTCCCTGGGGTCATGACAGAGGCAGGGGAGGAGAAGCAGTGAATGTGAATCTGGGTCAGGAGTGGGTGCTCCCTGCTTCTTCCTCCCCAGCAGCCTCTAGGGGGACTGGTGTGCTGATGTTGATGGGCCATGATCAGCTCCTTCTCACCTTCACAGTAATCCCATGATGGAGAAGGGACCATTCCTGTTTTTCAGTGGAAGAAGCTGAGGCAAAGACCAGTTAGTGACCTCCCCAGGGTCACACTGCTGCTAAACAGATGTGAAACCCAGGCCTGTGGGATGTTGTGGTTATTGATATTCATTTCTTACTTCCCCAGGAGCCCTGAGTCCCTTTGAATGTGGATGTGTGTCGTCTGATTCGTCTTTGACTCCCACGGCCCCAGCATGTGCTCTACAAATGGGATGCACTCTGGTTATTGAACAGTGAGGGGTGGAGGGGGGAGAAGGAAAGCAAGGGATGCTTGGAGATGGTCCTCTCCGGGGCAGATAGAGGAAGATGGACCCTTAGTGAGACCACGCGCAGAACAGGCTGGGTGAGCCACTTCCGTCCCTGATGTCCACAGAGGCAGCTTCCTCTCTAGTGCTGGGTGAGCGTGCCATAGGGTATGGCTTCAGCACTGAGCTTGTAAACTGACCTACCTTGAAGTAGGCCACCAAGCCAAGGGCGTCTGGACCAGGAATGACAAACAAATGGCACCATTCCCCCACCCTCAGGGTGGACATTGTTCATCAACGGCCTGGCCCCAGTGAGGCCTAAGGGCCTTCCCGACACAGCCTTCCAGACCATCCTGCTAGTCCATGGAGATAGCAGATACGCTGCAAGCTTTCTGATCCTGAGTCTGCACTTGTCCTCGGCACCATAGCCTGTGACCGTAAGAGAATAGACTGTCCGGGGGCTTTGTCAAGAAGCACGATGTTCCTTAGTCTCATGGGCTCTTGGCTAAGGAAAGAGTCCCAGGGTCATGTCTTCTACCTCCACCTTAGGCAGGATTCACCCTTGGGGCACCCCCGGAAGGCGCTTGTGAGCTGGAACCTAATTGCTCTGCAAAGTGATGCAGTTTATGGAATTTTTTTTTTTAACAGAACAGAGATCTGTTTCCTTGCAACTCTGCCCGCTATTCCTGATACAAGTTTACTCACTTCTCCACCTGACAGCCCTTTGGATATTTTGATATTCGAAGGGAATGATCATATTCTCAAAGTCTTCTGATCTTTAGCCAGAACATCCTTCAGTTATCTTCACATGTCGGGAGTTTCTCGCTCATCACCATCCTCATTACCCTTCTTGAGATGTTTGCTCATCTGTCACTTTCTGTTCAGCCAGCGGCTGTTACACATCAGGCCCCATCCCAGGTGCTAGAGACTTAGCAGTGAATGAGGCTGACTTCGCAGTCTGCAGGGGAGTTCAGAGTCCTCTTACTGTGTGGATCCAGTTTAAAGGGATGTGACTGTGGCTGAGACTGGTGCCTGGCATGGATTCGTTCATGAGTCCAGGGCTCTGTTTTCTGTGGTGGCTCCAAGAGAGTGCACGGTCCCTGCTGATTGAAAGAAGGATGAAGGGCAGAAGAGGGGTGGGGAGCTGTGTGCCCTAAGATCTCATTGCCTTTTTATGCCGATTAACATGCTTTTAGCCCCTACTGAGCTTATAGTTAACAGAAGTTTCCAGGTCTTTCTTCACCTGAACTGTGTCTAAAACAAGTTCCCTCCACCTTCTGTATTTATACGCTTGATTTTTAAAACCTAAATGTTGGGCTTCACATTTGTTCCCTGTAAATTTCATCTTGGTGATTGCAGTCTACCCTCTGGCCTTTAAAAATTGTCTGAGCCTTGATTCGATCATGAAACCAGCTTACCCTTCCCCTGTGTGCTGGCCCCAGTTTTCTAACCAGGTGTTGAATGAACTGGATGGACTCTGCCAGATCCCTCCGTGCAAGGCTGGAATCAGTCCATTGTTCAACTGTGCCCTTTGGGACTGTGGTTCATTTGGCTCTGATTTTTCCTATATGTTCTCTCCTCCAACCCCCATAGCTCCATCTTGTCTACAAGATTCTGTTAGAAGCCGTCAAAATCCGGCTGACTCGAGATGCGCTGTGGTGCATGTTTTCCCCGGGCACAGCAGGCTAATAATCCTGTTACAAAGAGAAATGCTGTACATTTCGAGCAGTGCTGGCCCCTGGGACTCACTGCGGCCTTTTCTAAGTGCTTACAGACTCTCTGTTTAATAATCCATTCCAGAAATTTTCCAGGGCTCATTGTTGAGCTTGGTGTTCACAACTTTGAGTGATCAGCCCTTCTCCTTTGTGGGAGCACCAGGACAGAGCAGCCTTTGTCCCTCCCCAGTCTCAGTTCCCTCCCACTGCCCCTGTGGACCTCGAATGCAGAGCTTATGCACCTACCGAAGGTCGTGTCAGCACCCAAGGCAGAACGAGGCTGCCCTGGGAACTAGGGTCAATTAAGACAGCTTGTGCTGGAGGACCCTTTACAGCAGATGAAGGCCTCTCCCCAGCCAGAAAAGATGGAGCACACGCTGGGTGGTGGCCCCGCTTCCTCACTGGAAGGAGATGGTGCTCTTCTTTTTTCTTTCTGAATTGTGGCCACCTTCATACCAGTCTGTCATGGAACACTTAAGCCGCTTGAGTGCCTGCTGGTACTCCCAGCCCTGCCATGCCTGAGCCCCCTGCACACAAGGAGCCAGGAGTAATCAGGGCAGACCCATTAGGGCACGGGGACTCCTGGATTGTGAAATTGGCTCTCTGGGGGCCAAGGCCTTCTAACGTTGGTGGAAGTGGCTTTGGCTTATTGGGTCCGGTTCTAGGCCATTCATTCCAACCTTTAGAGGCATGCCAGCTTTCCCTAGCCCAGAGTCTGCAGCCCCTCCACCATCCCACATCCTCCCCCTCCCTTTCCTCATGAACCCCAGTCGCGCCTCTGCCTTCTCATCCCTGCGCACCACACAGGCTCGCTCGTGCCCGGTGAGTGCTGAGGCTGCTCTGCACGTGGAGTGTGGCCCTGTGGGCATGGGCTGGGCTCTTGGAGGTAGGGGAGCTACAGGGGCGACTGGGAGGAGGATGTCGTGTTACACACGCATCAGAGTTAACTTTGCAGTGAGAGCGGCCTTGCTGCGGCCAAAGAACATGGAAAAGCATGAGTGGGGTGATGTGCCTTAAAGCATCAGACACTTGGGCCTCGGGCATCAGGAGCCAGCCACAGGGATGTCTGGGGAAATGGCGTTCCATGAGACGCAAGCACACAAGAATGCACTTGGCACATCTGGGGAACAGCAGGCAGCCGATATCACTGGGCCCACCCCGCACCAGGGAGGATGGAAGCAGGTGAGGAGCTAGACCACACTGAGGCGGTGGTCGGGACTCAGGGTTTGCTCAGTGAGCCGTTCACTATGTGCAGGGGCAGTTCCCCGTCTGAATTTAGGTGACGACACTCAGGTCCAGCCTTGCCAGTCTCAGCCTCCGGTCTCCATTCCCCCTCTGCAGAGGCGACTTTGTCTGCTGCACGTGATCATGAGGGGTTGTGAAGTGCTTGCCCCATCAGTAGCCATGTGTGCATGTGTAAATACCATCCTCTGTGTGCCCTGGAGGCTGTCCTTCAGATAGCAGGTACAGGTGGCAGCATAGGGCCTGTCCCTACTGAGAGTGCAGGGAACTCAGCACCGTCAACTCCTCGACCCTGCAGGTCAGATTATCCTTGTAGAGGCCCCCTGGATGGCACCAAGATCGGCCCTGGCAAGCAGGTGACCCTGACTTCAGAGCCCTTGCCTGAGGGCCTGGCCTGGCAGCTCTGCTGTTAGAAGCAGGAGGTGTGCAGGGGGTGGGGAGCAGCCCAGCCTCTGTGATCTTCTCCATGGCAGGATCTCCCAGCAGGTAGAGCAGAGCCGGAGCCAGGTGCAGGCCATTGGAGAGAAGGTCTCCTTGGCCCAGGCCAAGATTGAGAAGATCAAGGGCAGCAAGAAGGCCATCAAGGTAGTCCCCATACCCCTGTGTCCTGAGACTTTTCCCCGTGCCTCTGAGGCCGCCCATTCTCTGCCCTGCTGCCCACCTGTACCTTGGGCTTTCTTCTCGCCCAGGCTTCCAACTCCACCCTCTCCTGCCAAGCAATCCTAGCCCTCTGAGCCTCTTAGGGCCCCCTCAGACTTGTCCCTGTGTCCACAGGTGTTCTCCAGTGCCAAGTACCCTGCTCCAGAGCACCTGCAGGAATATGGCTCCATCTTCACGGGCGCCCAGGACCCTGGCCTGCAGAGACGCTCCCGCCACAGGATCCAGAGCAAGCACCGCCCCCTGGACGAGCGGGCCCTGCAGGTCTGCTGGCTGCGCACATAACTTAGCCTGTCACACACCAGGAGGACTGGATACTGGGGAGGAGCCGGGGCCACCATAGGGTTCTGTCCCCCAGAGGAGGCTGACTGGGATGGGGTGGCAGCTGATTAGGCCCAGCACCAAATATTCACCATCCCTTGGCCATCCTGGCCCTCCCAGGAGAAGCTGAAGGAATTTCCTGTGTGCGTGAGCACCAAGCCGGAGCCTGAGGACGATGCAGAAGAGGGACTTGGGGGTCTTCCCAGCAACATCAGCTCTGTCAGCTCCTTGCTGCTTTTCAACACCACCGAGAACCTGTATGGCCAGAAGGCAGGGCCGAGGGGTGTGGGCGGGAGGCCCGGCCTGGCTTAGTGGGGACCCAGGGCATCAGACACAGGTACAGCACATAGCCCAGGAGCCAGGGGGTGACTGGGGTGGCTCGGCTTGGGAGGCCTGGGACCCCACAGTGCACGCTGTGCCCCTGATGATGTGGGAGAGGAACATGGGCTCAGGACAGCGGGTGTCATCTTGCCTGACCCCCATGTCGCCTCTGTAGGTAGAAGAAGTATGTCTTCCTGGACCCCCTGGCTGGTGCTGTAACAAAGACCCATGTGATGCTGGGGGCAGAGACAGAGGAGAAGCTGTTTGATGCCCCCTTGTCCATCAGCAAGAGAGAGCAGCTGGAACAGCAGGTGGGAGGGGTGGGACAGAGGTGGAGACAGGTGCAGTGGCCCAGGGCCTTGCCAGAGCTCCTCTCCAGTCAAGGCTGTTGGGCCCCTTATTCCACCCATGGGAGGTGCACACAAGGTCTTGTTGGCTGCCCCTGCAGGTCCCTGTCACCTCTCACATGTCCCTGCCTAATCTTGCAGGTCCCAGAGAACTACTTCTATGTGCCAGACCTGGGCCAGGTGCCTGAGATTGATGTTCCATCCTACCTGCCTGACCTGCCCAGCATTGCCAACGACCTCATGTACATTGCCGACCTGGGCCCCGGCATTGCCCCCTCTGCCCCTGGCACCATTCCAGAACTGCCCACCTTCCACACTGAGGTAGCCGAGCCTCTCAAGGCAGGTGAGCTGGGTTCTGGGATGGGAGCTGTGCCGGGGACCTCCCTGCTGACACACCTTCTTCCCTAGACACCCCACACTTTGTGTTTCAGACCTACAAGATGGGGTACTAACACCACCCCCACCGCCCCCACCACCACCCCCAGCTCCTGAGGTGCTGGCCAGTGCACCCCCACTCCCACCCTCAACCGCGGCCCCTGTAGGCCAAGGCGCCAGGCAGGACGACAGCAGCAGCAGCACGTCTCCTTCAGGTGGGAGCAGCTCTTTGAGGCCACCTGATTTCTGGCGTGCTCAGTGCACTCGGGTGGATTTTCTGTGGGTTTGTTAAGTGGTCAGAAATTCTCAATTTTTTGAATAGTTTCCATTTCAAATATCTTGTTCTACTTGGTTCATAAAATAGTGGCTTTCAAACTGTAGAGCTCTGGACTTCTCACTTCTAGGGCAGAGGGAGCCTGAACAAGTGAGGCTCTGGGTTCCTCATTCCTAATTAAACCAATGGAAAGAAGGGGTCTAATAACAAACTACAGCAACACATTTTTCATTTCAGCTTCACTGCTGTATCTCCCAGTGTAACCCTAGCATCCAGAAGTGGCACAAAACCCCTCTGCTGGCTCATGTGTGCAACTGAGACTGTCAGAGCATGGCTAGCTCAGGGGTCCAGCTCTGCAGGGTGGGGGCTAGAGAGGAAGCAGGGAGTATCTGCACACAGGATGCCCGCGCTCAGGTGGTTGCAGAAGTCAGTGCCCAGGCCCCACACAGTCTCCAAAGGTCCGGCCTCCCCAGCGCGGGGCTCCTCGTTTGAGGGGAGGTGACTTCCCTCCCAGCAGGCTCTTGGACACAGTAAGCTTCCCCAGCCCTGCCTGAGCAGCCTTTCCTCCTTGCCCTGTTCCCCACCTCCCGGCTCCAGTCCAGGGAGCTCCCAGGGAAGTGGTCGACCCCTCCGGTGGCTGGGCCACTCTGCTAGAGTCCATCCGCCAAGCTGGGGGCATCGGCAAGGCCAAGCTGCGCAGCATGAAGGAGCGAAAGCTGGAGAAGAAGAAGCAGAAGGAGCAGGAGCAAGGTGAGCGGGCCCTGGAGCCTGCAGTCGGAGGGCCTTGGGCAAGATCGCCTCCTCCCCTCCAGCCCTGAGTCCACCGGGTGCTTTCTGCCCACCCCCTGCTCTTGCCAGCTGGCCCCTGCTTCCCCTAGGGCACATGCTGGAAGCCCTGGGCCGCCACCAGAGGTCCTCAGCCCTCCTGCCTGGGCTATGGCTCCTTCCTGGTTTGGGAGCCATAGTGGAGCTTTCCTCTCTAAGCTCACCCAGCTCAAACTGTGACAGGAGAATCTTCTTCGACAGCCAAGAGCGGTCCAAGGCAATGGTCAGCCACTGCAGCCTCCTGAGATATTTTTAGAGACTGGACCTGAGGCCTCTGGAGGCTACTGATGATGCCTGTTGTGAACGCAGACACTGGTGTGATGCGATGCCTGCGCCTGCAGCGGCAGTGCCCTGGGCACTATGGTTTTGAGCTTGTACCCAGCGCTGCTTTTGCCTTGCTCTGTGACCCCAGGCAAGCTGCCTCACCTCTCTGGGCCAGTTTCCCCATCGTACAGTGGTGCTGCACACCCTGGCCCTGGCCCCGAGGTGGCTGGGAGGTGGCTCCTCAAACAGCCGCTTTCTCATCAGTGCCCGGTGCTGGGTCAGGGATCGACTGAGGCTCTGAGCTAACTAGGAAACACAGTGGCCTTGGAGGGCTGGGGAGTGTCATGGGGGTGGGGACAGGGAGCCACCGGTCGCATGTGACTGAACTCTTCACCCCAGTCTGTGGCTTTCCCGTTGCAGTGAGAGCCACGAGCCAAGGTGGGCACTTGATGTCGGATCTCTTCAACAAGCTGGTCATGAGGCACAAGGGTAGGAGGCAGGGCCGCTGCCCGCCCTGGGCCGGCACCTTGTAATTCTGTCCTGCCTTTTTCTTCCTGTATTTAAGTCTCTGGGGGCTGGGGGAACCAGGGTTTCCCACCAACCACCCTCACTCAGCCTTTTCCCTCCAGGCATCTCTGGGAAAGGACCTGGGGCTGGTGAGGGGCCCGGAGGAGCCTTTGCCCGCGTGTCAGACTCCATCCCTCCTCTGCCGCCACCGCAGCAGCCACAGGTAGACGAGGACAAGGACGACTGGGAATCCTAGGGGGCTCCATGACACCTTCCCCCCCAGACCCAGACTTGGGCCGTTGCTCTGACATGGACACAGCCAGGACAAGCTGCTCAGACCTGCTTCCCTGGGAGGGGGTGACGGAACCAGCACTGTGTGGAGACCAGCTTCAAGGAGCGGAAGGCTGGCTTGAGGCCACACAGCTGGGGCGGGGACTTCTGTCTGCCTGTGCTCCATGGGGGGACGGCTCCACCCAGCCTGCGCCACTGTGTTCTTAAGAGGCTTCCAGAGAAAACGGCACACCAATCAATAAAGAACTGAGCAGAAACCAACAGTGTGCTTTTAATAAAGGACCTCTAGCTGTGCAGGATGCAAACGTCTCGGGGTCAGTGACTGCCTCCTGCCCCTGTTGGTCCCTAGGCAGTGGGGGCAGAAGCTCCCAGCTGACCTGTTTCTCTGGGAGAGAAGGGCAGTCAGCAGGGGCAGCTGTTGCAGATGGGAGGAATAGTCTCCCACAAAAAAGGTTTCAGTGACAGTCACGGGGTCTCTAAAAATAGTCATGCTGAGAGCCTAATGGCCCTTGGCACAATTGCTGGTGTTGGGGTAGAAGATGTCTTGGAGTTTGCTCAAGTGGTTGAGAGGGAGGGAGGTGCCATCGACTTGGAGGAACTGGCACCAAGCCAGGGAGATAGAAATCCAGGCAAGGCTGTGGGGCAGGTTAGGGAGCAAGGCTGCAGGAGTGACTCATGAAGAAGGTGGGGGAGGTGACAAGCTCCCAGGCAGGTGCCCTGTGGCCATGGGGATCTTTTTAAATTGAGACTAGGGGGTGAATAGTCCAGGGCAGCTAACTTTAGTTATTATAGAAAGGGCAGTAGCAGATGAGTCTGCTCCGTCTCGCTTCTAAGAAGGTGGGCAGGACACATGGCAGCCTCCTGCAGAGGCCCAGTGAGAAGCCTGGCCCTCGGCCACGCAGGATGGAAGACAGATTGGATTCCACAGAGGGGAGCTGCCCTGGGAAGATCTCACGGATGGCCAGGACCCACCATTTCTTCAGGATTCCCCTGTTTTCTCCAACGGGCACTAATGCCTGTGCCTGGGTCCTGGCAACACTCTGGACTCCACACTCTCCTGGGTTTCACCTTTGTAGCAGGATCCCTGCAGACCAGGCCCATGACAAACACCGTCTCCAGCGGGCAGAGCAAAGGAAGGGCGCAGCGCCAGGCAGTGGTGCAGCTGCCTGTCAGGAAGAGGCCTACTTCTGGTGAAACTGGGCAGACAAAAGGCAGTGAGAAATGCGATCTCGGGGTGGTGGAGGCTCTCGGGAAAGGAAAAGGCAGGAGTGAACTTCCACACAGCAGCAATGGCAGAACCAAAGGTGGCTTTGACCTCCACGAGGGCTCAGATCCAGGCCAACAGCCTGTCCAGGACAGGGTGCCGGGTGTATCACTGGTCCAGGAGCACTATGCTGGCAGAATCCCTTTGGTGCCTGATGGCCCTGCCTTCGTGGGAACAGAGGCTAAGGCTTTGAGTTACAGCTGCCTCCCCAACAGTGCATCCCCCTTTCCTTCCTCAGCCTCAGGTGGGAGACAGGGCAGGCAGCCCCCCTTTCCTCTTCTCCCCTTCTCCAGCCCCTGTCTGTCCACCCAGCTGGAGGCAGCCAGGCTTGCCTATGGACTGGTTGACAGCCTTCATGCACAGGTTCTCCACCAGAGCCTTTCTTGGGGGCCCCTGGCCTGGGCTCTGAGCTGGGAGTGAAGGGGATGACCCATGCGGACTGTTTCCTGCTTGTAGCTTTCCCTGGGAAAGACTGTGCCAGGCCTTGGAGCCAGACCAGGAGGCTTTATAGGCCACTGCAAGCAGCAGGCCTCCAGATGACATCACGGGGAAGATCAAGAGGGTGTGGAGGGGCATCCAAGCCTCCCCAGGAGACAGGAGACGCCAGCCCAGCAGAGCCCTAGGGGCGACACCACTCCCACTCACCGCCTACTCTCCTCTCACCTCTGCAACACTGGGGACACTCACAAGACTGTGATCCAAGTCGGCCGTCGTCTTCTGCAGCTCTGGAGACCTGATGCTGGGGAAGGGCATGCCTGGCATCACCACACACCTGGGGGGAGACAGGAGCCTGGGGCCGGTGGGCCCACACATCACCAGCTGCTCCGTTCTACCATTTCTTCAGCCCTCTTCGCTGTGCCTGCGGCTCTGCCCCTCCCCTCTCTGCACCTACCACACAGAGAGGCCTTGTTGAGCTCAGAGATCCCACCTAGGCCAATCCACTGGGTTCTGCGGCAGCGATGGCCTGCCTGATCTTCCACCTGCTCTCCCAGGGCCAAAGCCAGAGCTGCTGAGCCCCTCCAGCTGGCTGGTCTGAGCAGTCACAGCCCGGCTTTGGGCTCCGATGGCAGCAGACGGCAGGTAGGGGTGCAGCTGCTGGAGCGAGGGCCGGCCACGTATCACAGCCAAGGAGATGAGCACAAGCACTACTTAGTGGCCTAGGTTGTCAGAGAAGTTGATGCTCTCACTCATCTTTCCTCCAATCTTTCCCCTATGCCTGGTTGTGGTATTAAGTTACATGCAGACAACAGGGGCCAGAAGATGAACAATGGCCCATCCCACTCTAGGCATGGCTCCTCTCCACAGGGAAACTCCACTCCAGTGCTCAGCTTGCACCCTGGCACAGGCCAGCAGTTGCTGGAAGTCAGACACCTGCAGATGAAGACCACAGCATCAAGACCCTGTGACCTCTCAAAGGCCCGGTGGAAAGGACACGGGAAGTCTGGGCTAAGAGACAGCAAATACACATGAACAGAAAGAAGAGGTCAAAGAAAAGGCTGACGGCAAGTTAACGAAAAGAAAAATGGTGAATGATACCCGGTGCTGGCAATCTCGTTTAAACTACATGCAGGAACAGCAAAGGAAATCCGGCAAATTTGCGCAGTCATTCTCAACACCGGCCATGCAGCAAAATCATCAGTGGAAATTTAAGAAAATACACATGGCCAGGCCCCAGCCCAAATCACTAAGAAGAATCTCCAGGGGTTCACCTGTTAGACTGGCAAAAATCCAAAAGTAAACACTTTGTGGAGAAACAGGCATTCCTAGACATTGCTGGTGGGATACAGAACAGTACAATTCTGATGGTAATCAGTTAACAAATTAAACATATTTATTTTATACTTTTAAACCAAGGAATCCCATATTTAGGAGCCTACTGAGACCAAACAGCATATGCTCCGGGTGTTTCCCTATAATCCGCCACTACTGTTGGAGCAAGAGGGCCCGGCAGTGTCCCCAGCTGCCAGCAGGCGGGCGTGCTGCCACTACACCTTGAGCAAGAGGACCCTGCAATGTCCCTAGCTGCCAGCAGGCGGCGTGCCACCACTATACAGTAAGCAAGAGGGCCCTGCAGTGCCCCGGCGCCAGCAGGGGGCGCTGGCCACCACTCTAAGCAAGAGAGCCCTGCAGTTGCCCTAGTCGCCAGCAGGGGGCGCCCTGGCACAGCACCGTGAGCAAGCGGGTCCTGTAGTGCCCGGCTGCAAGCAAGGGGCTGTCGATCCCGGCGTTTCGGATTACTGAGGTTCCACCCGTCTCTGCGCCGCGCCGCCGTGACGTGAGTTTCTGCGCGTGCACGGCGCCACCCCCCCCCCCCGCCCCCAGCCCGGCGCCGTGCGACTTTGCTCCTGTAACACACGCCCCCCCAACCCCCGCCCGTAGGCGTGCGTCTCTGCGCCTGCGCCACGCCTCCACCCCGGACGCGCTAGCATGTGTCTCTGCGCCTGCGCCGGCGCGGCGCGCCTCTCTGCGCCTGCGCCACGCCTCCTCCCCTGGGCGCGCTAGCATGTGTCTCTGCGCCTGCGCCACGCCTCCTCCCCTGGACGCGCTAGCATGTGTCTCTGCGCCTGCGCCGGCGCGGCGCGCCTCTCTGCGCCTGCGCCGGCGCGGCGCGCCTCTCTGCGCCTGCGCCGGCGCGGCGCGCCTCTCTGCGCCTGCGCCGGCGCGGCGCGCCTCTCTGCGCCTGCGCCGGCGCGGCGCGCCTCTCTGCGCCTGCGCCGGCGCGGCGCGCCTCTCTGCGCCTGCGCCGGCGCGGCGCGCCTCTCTGCGCCTGCGCCGGCGGAGTTGCGTTCTCTTCAGCACAGACCCGGAGAGCACCGCGAGGGCGGAGCTGCGTTGTCCTCTGCACAGATTTCGGTGGTACTGCGAAGGCGGAGCAGAGTTCTCCTCAGGTCAGACCCGGGCGGGCGGGCCGGCTGAGGGTACCGCCAGGGTTAGGGTTAGGGTTAGGGTTGGGGTTGGGGTTAGGGTTAGGGTTAGGGTTAGGGTTAGGGTAGGGTTAGGGTTAGGGTTGGGGTTGGGGTTGGGGTTAGGGTTAGGGTTAGGGTTAGGGTAGGGTTAGGGTTAGGGTTAGGGGTTAGGGGTTAGGGGTTAGGGTTAGGGTTAGGGTTAGGGTAGGGTTAGGGTTAGGGTTAGGGTTAGGGTAGGGTTAGGGTTAGGGTTAGGGGTTAGGGTTAGGGTTAGGGTTAGGGTTACGGTTTGGGGTTGGGGTTAGGGTTAGGGTTAGGGTTAGGGGTAGGGTTAGGGTTAGGGTTAGGGTTAGGGTTAGGGTTAGGGTTAGGGTTAGGGTTAGGGTTAGGGTTAGGGTTAGGGTTAGGGGTTGGGTTGGGGTAGGGGTTTGGGTTAGGGGTTAGGGTTAGGGTTGGGGTAGGGTTAGGGTTAGGGTTAGGGTTAGGGTTAAGGTTAGGGTTAGGGTTAGGGTTAGGGTTAGGGTTAGGGTTAGGGTTAGGGTTAGGGTTAGGGTTAGGGTTAGGGTTAGGGTTAGGGTTAGGGTTAGGGTTAGGGTTAGGGTTAG